>NC_000007.14:145064440-145215955 GCF_000001405.40 Homo sapiens | reverse complement strand
ACACTATAAACACCTCTATGCAAATAAACTAGAAAATCTAGAAGAAATTGATAAATTCCTGGACACATACACCCTCCCAAGTCTAAATCAGAAGAAGTTGAATCCCTGAATAGACCAATAACAAGTTTTGAAACTGAGGCAGTAATTAATAGTCTACCAACCAAAAAAAGCCCAGGACCAGACAGATTCAGAGCCGAATTCTACCAGAGATACAAAGAGGAGCTGGTACCATTCCTTCTGAAACTATTCCAAATAATAGAAAAAGAGAGAATCCTCCCTAACTCATTTTATGAGGCCAGCATCATCCTGATACCAAAACCTGGCAGAGACCGAACAAAAAAAAGAAAATTGTAGGCCAATATCCCTGATGAACATCAATACGAAAATCCTCAATAAAATACTGGCAAACCAAATCCAGCAGCACATCAAAAAGCTTATCCACCATGATCAAGTCAGCTTCATCCCTGGGATGCAAGGCTGCTTCAACATATACAAATCAATAAATGTAATCCATCACATAAACAGAACCAATGACAAAAACCACATGATTATCTCAATAGATGCAGAAAAGGCCTTTGATAAAATTCAACACACCTTCATGCTAAAAACTCTCAGTAAACCAGGTATTGATGGAACGTATCTCAAAATAATAAGAGCTATTTATGACAAACCCACAGTCAATATCATACTGAATGGGCAAAAGCTGGAAGCATTCCCTTTGAAAACTGGCACAAGACAAGGATACCCTCTCTTACCACTCCTATTCAACATAGTACTGGAAGTTCTGACCAGGGCAATCAGGCAAGAGAAAGAAATAAAAGGTATTCAAATAGGAAGACAAAAAGTCATATTGTCTCTGTTTGCAGATGACATGATTGTATGTTTAGAAAACCCCACCGTCTCAGCCCAAAATCTCCTTAAGCTAATAAGCAACTTCAGCCAAGTCTCAGAATACAAAATCAATGTGTAAAAAGTACAAGCACAATAACAGACAAACAGAGAGCCAAATCATGAGTGAACTCCCATTCACAATTGCTACAAAGAGTATAAGATACCTAGGAATCCAACCTACAAGGGAGGTGAAGGACCTCTTCAAGGAGAACTACAAACCGCTGCTCAAGGAAATAAGAGAGGACACAAACAAATGGAAAAACATTCCATGCTCATGGATAGGAAGAATCAATATCGTGAAAATGGCCATACTGCCCAAAGTAATTTATAGATTCAATGCTATCCCCATCAAACTACCATTGACTTTCTTCACAGAATTAGATAAAGCTACTTTAAATTTCATATGGAACCAAAAAAGAGCCCGTATAGCCAAGGCAATCCTAAGCAAAAAGAAAAATGCTGGAGGCATCAGGCTACCTGACTTCAAACTATACTACAAGGCTACAGTAACCAAAATAGCATGGTGCTGATACCAAAACAGATATATAGACCAATGGAACAGAACAGAGGCCTCAGAAATAATGCCACACTAATATAGCCATCTGATCTTTGACAAACTTGACAAAAACAAGCAATGGGAAAAGATTCCATATTTAATAAATGGTGTTGGGAAAACTAGCTAGTCATATGCAGAAAACTGAAACTGGACCCCTTCCTTACATCTTATACAAAAAATAACCCAAGATGGATTAAATACTTAAATGTAAGACATAAAACCATAAAAATGCTAGAAGAAAAGCTAGGCGATATCATTCAGGACATAGGAATGTGCAAAGACTTCATGACTAAAACACCAAAAGGAATGGTAACAAAAGCCAAAATTGACAAATGGGATCTAATTAAACCAAAGAGCTTTTGCATAGCAAAAGAAACTATCATCAGAGTGAACAGGCAACCTACAGAATGGGAGAAAATTTTTGCAATCTATCCATCTGACAAAGGGCTAATATCCAGAATCTACAAGGAACTTAAACAAATTTACAAGAAAAAAAACAAACAACCCCATCAAAAAGTGAGCGAAGGATATGAACAGACACTTCTCAAAAGAAGACATTTATGTGGCCAACAAATACATGAAAAAAGCTCATCAGCTGTGGTCATTAGAGAAACGCAAACCAAAACCACAATGAGATGCCATCTCACACCAGTTAGAATGGCAATCATTAAAAGTCAGGAAACAACAGATGCTAGAGAGGATGTGGAGAAATAGCAACGCCTTTACACTGTTGGTGGGAGTGTAAATTAGTTCAACCATTGTGGAAGACAGTGTGGTGATTCCTCAAGGTTCTAGAACCAGAAATACCATTTCACCCAGTAATCCCATTACTGGGTATATATCCAAAGGATTATAAATCATTCTACTATAAAGACACATGCACACGTATGTTTATTGCAGCACTGTTCACGATAGCAAAGACTTGGAACCAACAAAAATGCCCATCAATGATAGACTGGATAAAGAAAATGTGGCTTATATATACCATGGAAAACTATGCAGCCATAAAAAGGATGGGTTCATGTCCTTTGCAAGGACATGGATGAAGCTGGAAACCATCATTCTCAGCAAACTAACACAGGAACAGAAAACCAAATACCACATGTTCTCACTCATAAGTGGGAGTTGAACAATGAGAACACATGGCCACAGGGAGGGGAACATCACACACTCCAGGGCCTGTCGGTGGGTGGGGGGCTGGGGGAGGGACAGCATTCAGAGAAATACCTAATGTAGATGACGGGTTGATGGGTGCAGCAAACCACCATGGCACGTGTATACCTACGTAACAAACCTGCATGTTCTGCACATGTATCCCAGAACTTAAATTTTAAAAATAGAAGAAGAATGTCAATAACTTATCCTTGAACAAAGTATCAGCAACTAAAAAACTGAAAGGACGAGGATCATCCAGCTTGTTAACTTGATTTAGGAAGTGGTTTAAAACAGTGTGAAATCAAATTAACATTATAACATGAATTTAGGGTGAAGGAAAAAAAGCAAATGAACTTTATATTAGTAAGTCACCTACTGTGTCTCATAATCCTGGCCATTTCTAACTTAGGACTTCAAGTAATTCTCAAAACTTTTCAAAGAAAGATAAAAGTAATAATAGCTTAGTTTTACAGATGAAGAAATTACTTGCCCAAAGGTCACACAGCTGATAGTTGTGAAGCTCAGAATGGAACCCCAGTATGCTGAACTTCAAAAGAAAAGAGTAGATAATGCTCCTGACTCTGTATGGACCCAGAGAGAAAAAGCTGTGTTTTTTAATGGAAGTGCTGTGTATGACAGAACGAACAGAGAAAAAAATTATAGTAATCTGAAAAAAAAAGTTTGAGAAGAGGCTGAGATAACAATTCTGATTTAAATCATTTTATGCTGATTTTTTTCTTTTCCCTGTATGCTTTATAACTGGTTATTTTATTTGTCCTTTGAAGTGACATTTTAAAAAGAGCTTCAGTTTAATCTTTGCTAATCTATTCCATGATAGCTAGAACTGCCTTATATGCCAGTATCTATATCTAACCTGTCTAATGCTGTAGCCACTAGGCAGATGTGGCTATTTGCATGGAAATTTAAGTTAATTAATGTAAAATAAAATTTAAAATTCAGCTCCTCATTCACAGTAGCCACATTTCAAGTGCTGGACAGCCAAAGGCAGCGAATGACTACTATGTTTGGCAGTGCAGATGTAGAACATTCATTTCGTCATTGCAGAAGGCTCAGTGCTGCTCTAGGGCAAGGGGCAGCAAAGTACAGCCTGTGGGCCAAAGCCAGGATGCCACGTGTTTTCGTAAATGAGCTTATTGAAACACAGGCATACTCATTCCTTTATGTACTATCTATGGCTGCTTTTGTGTTATCACAGCTGTGCCAAGTAGTTGCAACAGAAACCACACGCCCCACGAAAACTGAAGTATTTAATATCTAACCCTTTACAGGAAAAGCTTTGCCATCCCCTGATTTAGAAGATGAATATCGTGGTAGTTGGCAGCTCAGGTTCTGCAGATCAACATACTGGAATTTCAACCCTGACTGTCAAAAATTAAATCAAATTCGTCTAAGCACTCCTCTTGTTTGCAAAATTAGAATAGTAATAATAACAGTCATTGACATATGTATACATAATACTGATCTTACATAGTTTCATGAAGATTAAATTAGAGAATGTATGTAAAACACTCAGTGCAATGATTGATAGTACATTGTAAGCCTTACAAAAAATGTTTGTTAAATTTTTATTATTGTTCTTTTCATTTTCTTTTTCTTGTAACTGGTAAAAAGTTCACAAAGAATCCCTCTCTCTCAAATCAGAATCCCAGTTGAAGATATGACAAATTCAACAAAGGCATAAAGATCTCATATTTTCTAGGCATGATAGTGACCCTAGGTCTGTAATTCACTTTAGACAATATATATTCATTTTTTAATTACACATTTTTTGGAAATGTTTTATATATATATACACACACACACGTACACACACATATATATATATATTCCTACTTAGTATGTAAGACACATAAACACATCTGAAGTGTCTTATGCCTATGAACCAGCAAGCCAGATTTTGTCTGCAATTTCTGCAGTTCCTGCCCAAAAGGCTTGGTTCTGTACAAAACTGTGGGTAAACTCCATCTGTCTTCCATATTTGATAATATTCTAATCCCCAATCGTTTTATGCTTAGGATAAGTTGACTTAACTCCTTGACTTGATCATGATGCTCACATGCAGTTTCAATGCTATCTTTTTCATTATAGATTAAAGAGTAATATAGGAAATATTTACACAACTTTGTCAATAAAAAGGTCATGTACAGACAGTGGAAAGCAGCCTTTAGCAACTGTGAGGAAGCTATCTATGCTACCTCATCCTCTGTTCTCTCATCTCTCTTGATTTGGGAGCTTCTCACGCTCCTGTACCATCCACTCCCAGTCCACTTTGACCAATGAGTTCACTGTTCTCATGTAATCCTCTGTTGCCAACAGGCTTCCTCCCAAACACTAATCTCCCAGGCAGATGTCCCGTGCATAGAAGTGCTAACGGGTATTGGATCAAAATACGGTCTACAAAGATCAGATCCTGTGAGAAGCCTACACAGTCTAAAGGCTGTTCTCAGTTTTCTTTATCTATCTTTCTACTCTTGTCTCATCTATCCTGAGGAGCTTTTAACAGCATTTATTACTTTCAACAATGTTTATGATTAGTTGCATGGGTACCCTCTTTCTTAAAATAGTACCCTATTCCCTAAAATATTTCCTAAAATATTTTAAGGCTCATTTGCAAATGAGCCTTGAAATAAAATGAAAGAAGAGGCTGGACATGGTGGCTCATGCCTGTAATCCCAGCACTTTGGGAGGCCAAGGCAGTTGCATCACCTGAGGTCAGGAGTTTGAGACCAGCCTGTCCAACACGGCAAAACCCCATCTCTGCTAAAAATACAAAACTTGCTGCATGTGGTGGCATGTGCCTGTAATCTCAGCTACTCGGGAGGCTGAGGTAGAAGTATCACTTGAACCCAGGAGAGAGAGGTTGCAGTGAGCCAAGATCATGCCACTGCACTCCAGCCTAGGTGACAAAGCGAGATTCCATCTCAAAAAAAAAAAAAAAAAAAGAAAAGAAAAGAAAAGAGGGATGGAATGTTGCACTTTATTTGAACCAAATGAAGAAAAAAGGGTGTAAATGGGATGGAAACAAATCAACAAATCTCTATACTGATAATTTGTTTTGTGCTTTGCATTATGCTAGGTACTTCACAAGTGGTGATTTGATAACTAATTTTGTCAACACTCTTCTGAGACTGTTATTATAAGCTCCCTTTTTTTACTGAAAATCTCAAGTTCAGAGAAATTCGTAATTTGCATCAGGTAACATAGGTAATAAGCGATGGCGCTGGAATTCGAGTTGAGTTTCTGGTTTCCGCATTTATTCCCTTTCCTCTATGCTGCATTATCTGTTATTATTTAAAGTAATTTGCAGTGTGTTCTATTTTATATGGTATAATTTTCTTTTATAAAGTAAAAAATTATCCTGCAATTCATCTCTTTTGCAAATCTGGATTGTAGCACAAATTTGATACACATGGAAATAGTCATAATCCCCAGCAATAAATTTGAATTACAGGAGACATGTACAAATCTATAAACTGCATAACTCTGTTCTTCCCTTAAATTTCCATTTGAAGGCCATGTCTGTACAGCAGCTGGTAGAGCTGCTGGAGCTTACCCACTCAGGCTCCCTGCTTGGCACTGCACGTGTGCACTAACATTCTGCAGGGTCTTTCTAGAATACATGATTCAAAGGACCCCCAAGCATTTATTTTAATGTGGAGAACCAAGAAGTAAATGGGACAGAACACTATCAGCTAGATAAAACTTAGCCTTGATTATTTCTGATGACTTCAGAGAACAGATCTCTCTCAGTTTATCATGTTGGCAAATGATTTCAGACTTCTGCCATTTGTACACAGGAGAAAAAGCATTAAAGCATTTTGGATTTTTGTTTGTGAAGATCCTCAACTTTAAAATTCTACATTTTCAGAATTTAATAAAGCTTGAAATTGGTGACCTATAGAACATTTTCAATTCTAAAGCTTTTTCTGAGTAATAAAAATACTTGAACATCTTGTTTAATTTGCAAAAACTGTCCCAAATACTGTCTCAGAGGAATGCAAAGTTATACATGACTGGTAAATATTGCTGCTCCTACTTCTTCTACTTCAATAGCAGGGGCTACTTGCATATTGCTATGGATTTTATACACTGATCTCATTTATTTAAACCGCACAAGAACCCTGAGATATATGTTCATTGTTTCCACTTTGCCAATCAGAGACATGGAGAGTTTAAGTAATTTACCAGGGGCTCCTAACAACAGGTGTCTGTACTTTTGGGCTGTTATAACAAAAACACCATAAACTGGGTAGCTTATTAATAACAAAAATTTATTTGTCACAGTTCTGGAGGCTGGAAAGTCCACTATCAAGGTACTGAAACAGATTCAGTATCTGGTAAGGGTCGGTTCCTCAAAGATGGTGACTTCTTGCTGAATCGTCATAAGGTAGAGGGGGGAACAGACTCCCTTTGGCTTAGTTTGTAAGGGTACTAATCTCATCCACATGGTTCTTCACTCATTACCTAAGCACATCCTAAAAGCCCCATCTCTTAATAGTATTGCATTGAGAATTAGGTTTTTAACCTATGAATTTTCGGGCAACACCAACATTCAAGCCACAGCACATGGCATACATAGAATTTGAACTGAGATTGAGGACAAGGAAGATGCTCCTAACTATGAATGACAGAAAGCAAAGGTACAAAGATTAGAACTTATGTCTGTGTCCAATACTTTATACAGAAAGCAAAGGTACAAAGATTAGAACTTATGTCTGAGCCCAATACTGTATGCAAACCACAGGGCAATGAGTATGCAAAAGAAATGTTTTATTTCCTTCGAAACTTTTCAAATTCTGCTAGAGCATCTCTGTCATCCTTTGAAACCAGCAGAGTGGTTTTCAGTCCTAGCCTCACTTTCAATCACTTGGAGAGATGGGCCCTACAAATTAAATCAAAATATTTGAGGGTAGGATCCAAGTATTGGATAGGGGTCTTACAGTGGCCATTTCAATAAATAGGTCAGTTACAACCAGAAAGATAGGGTGATTGTGATTGGAGTAGAGTTAATGGTGGTTTTTGACAGTGCCTAGGGGGAGGAAGACATGGAAGAACTAGTAGGAAGAGAAAAATCTCAAACAAATTATTCCAGAGTTTTCAGGGTTGAAAATTGTATCAACATGTTTGCTGTTATCCTTATAAACCTGTCCAATGCTCACTAATGTCCCAGCCAATCTCTCTGTATGCTGACAAATAAAGTAGCCAGGGAAGTTTATTTACCAAGTCTATTGCAGTTAAAAAATATTTGGGCCGGGCGCGGTGGCTCACGCCTGTAATCCCAGCACTTTGGGAGGCTGAGGCGGGTGGATCATGAGGTCAGGAGATCGAGACCATCCTGGCTAACAAGGTGAAACCCCGTCTCTACTAAAAATACAAAAAATTAGCCGGGCGCGGTGGCGGGCGCCTGTAGTCCCAGCTACTCGGGAGGCTGAGGCAGGAGAATGGCGTGAACCCGGGAAGCGGAGCTTGCAGTGAGCCGAGATTGCGCCACTGCAGTCCGCAGTCCGGCCTGGGCAACAGAGCGAGACTCCGTCTCAAAAAAAAAAAAAAAAAAAAAAAAAATTTGATGGTTGGATAAATGGATGAAGTGAACTTCCTGTTCACTGGTTCATCATGGGTGCAATGGGGCAATTCCTAAAATTGCTTACATTTCATAAAAGCAAATTTTATTGCCAAAAATTATTTATCCAAAATATAGTGATCTTTCTCCATGGGAGTTAATTCAATAAACAAAAAAGCACAATAAAGGGAATAAATCTGAGACTAATCTCATTGGGTCAAGACAGCACCCATTGCAACAATTAGAATTTCCTGCTGTTTTACACAGTGAATTGGATCTCAATGAAGTAAGATAGGCCAGAATAGAAAATCACTTTGAGTTGTTTGGAGCTAACTTGGAAAGCTGAAAGCCATTTTTAAATATCTGTCATTAAGATCACAAAACAGTAGTAAACCTTCCAAAAAATGTTCTACCCTTTGTAGGCCAATACGCATGTCTTCTGGTAGACTTACAAGACCTGAAACAAAATAATATACCCTTAATATGTCAGCGGTTCTCACATGAATTTACATTTTTCAAACTTTATCTCAGAGATGTAGGAAGTTCATATACCGCAGATAAATTTCCCTTTTGTGGAAAAGTATCAAAACATCCCAAAGATGGATAATCACAATATAGTTAAGAAAAGCCACAACCACCTCATATGAAACTGCTGGAAGCTTACAGAAACATTACACATAAATAGCAAGATTCTGCATATGAGCCATAAACATCCACTTTTCAACTCATTTCTATAGCATTTCTGAGCCAGACTGAAATGTTGTAAAAATATAGGTTAAAAAAAACACACTCACGAGTCTTTTAGCAGCTTTTCAATGGGAGCAAATAGGTTTGCTATTTGTGTCTGATTAGAGGTTCAGAAATATTTTTAAGAACTCAACTGCTCCAAATTCTTTGTGTAAGATGTGAATGCTCTGATGGACAAATGAATTCACTTAATAGGTCTTCTTGGAAACTTGCTCACTGGGCCTATAACTTCAGCCCAAGCAGTAAATGTTTCTTCAGATGGGATTTGACACAGGTTCAAACTTTATGTACAAATGTATTGTCAGTATTGCAGAGGGCTTATGCCCATATTTCTATGCTAAATAAAACACTGATGACTGCCTCCTACTATTAGACATTCCGATTTAATTGTTTTGGGGTGTGACCTGCCATTTGGACTTTTTAAAGCTCTCCAGGTGTTTCTAACAGGCAGGAAAGATTGGGAACCACTCTGCTAGACTGATTGGTTTCCAATTCCTATATGACTCAGTGCTTCTTCTGATTAAAATGCCACACTCCTATTCTTGGTTAAATAGTCCAAACTCACCAATACAACATCTATGTTCCTTCAAGTCAGACTATTTAGAATCACTCTAGCCTCATGTCTTATTTCTCTCTTTCTAACCTACTTCTTAAACTCCACCACACATCACCTATCTTTTATTGTTTGAGCTTCACTATGGCCCCTAAACAACATAAGGAAGGCAAAGATTAGTTGAGCTCATAATATCTTGGGAGATTCTATTTGTCTTCTGAAAGCCTATTGATAACAAACCCATGTCTGAGTAGTAAATTTTATCAAATATTTCATAGTTGAGCGTAATAGTTATAATATTATTCCTTCTTGTCCATTGAGTATCCCTAACACTATAACAATCTATATTCCACAATGAGCAATATCATTATGAAGAAAGGCACAATGGGAAGCTTTTTTCTTTCTTTTAACGGGGGGTGTGGGGGCACCTTGCAAGACCTGGTGTCAGCTTTGGGAGTTCTTTACACTTTATAATCTAAAGCTTACTGATTAAGTTGTAAATTTCCACATGGCTCCGGCCACCCTTGACAGCCAGGTAGCCTATACTCTACTTTAAGTCCAGATGTGTCCTCACTGTATGTTCTAGCATCTTATACCACAAATCCTTGCTTGCATAAACTATATACAGTAGATAGGAAGAGAGGATCCTCTCCTTTAAGTAATCAAAACGACCTGGGCTATAAAAAAACTTCCTCAATGTCTGTAAGAAAAAAAAAATGCATGAATGTGGAGTTATTTTTCATCATAAAAGCTCCTAACCAGGAGAACAAAATGAAATTCTAGAGCTCCTAGCCCTCGGGGAAAGTTCTTTATCCTTTATAATTCTAGTCAGGACACAAAGAGAAAAACTAGGTAGACGTAAAAGTCTTTTGTCATCTAGATTCATCCAGTTGCAATAGGGACTTAAATATTTTCAGGTGTTCAGTCTTCCTCATTCACTTTTATATACTTCCTCTTTTATCATGTACCCTCTTTCTGCTTAAAACAACCTGCGCAGATTCCCTCACCCAACCCAACCCCACTTCTCTTCCTGGCTATCTTCTCGGTGACCTCCAGGGTTAAGCTCAGTTACTGCCTGTCCTGGGAGGCCTGGTGGGTCTTGGATGCACGTGTGTCCTGAACTCTCTCTCAGGGTCTCTAGCTCAGTCTCCCTTACACTGCATGGAAGGTTTTGGTTCACTTATCTGTCTTCCACAACAGATTGTGAAATATTTCAGAGGAGGGATCCTGTGCTATTTGTGTTTGCAACAATGATGGAGTCAGTGTGATTTGTACACAATAATTGTTTAAGTTTTAACGATTGATTGGATGAGTAAATACATGAGTCTTTCTCATTAAACTCTCTGGGGCAGCTTTCTCATATTTAGGTGGTACTTGCTTATCACAAAGTTGATTTGAATATTAAGAAATATTATACATAAAATATCTGGAAATAGTAAGTTCTTGGTAAAAGTTTATTCTTTTTCCCTTTTCTCATTATTATTTAACAATTGTCTTTATGTGAGTAATGTAAATTATAGAGTAACAAAGCAAAAACAAAATAAACAGAAAGTTTATCTCACTTCCTGATTAAAGCATGAATAAAGATGTAATGCTTGTTTCATAATTTTAAAAGATAGAGATTTTATATTAGAATACTATGCTCCCCATTTGTGATAAAAATATTGAAGATAAGAGGAATTATTATCATAATAGTATGCAGAACGTCAATTCTAAAGTCTTTTAGAAGCAGTGCAGTGTGATAGGATCATGAGCATAGACAGAGACAAAAAGACTTGCTCTCAAATCTTAGCTACTTAGTAGGCAGCATCTATCCTTGAATGTGTAACTTAACCCTGGTCTTGAATGTGTAACTTAACCCTAATGTTGCAAGTACTAAATAAGATTATATAAAGTGGATAGTAAGTACTCAACAAATGAAGTTTTGTGTTTGTTTTGTTTTGTTTTTTGAGATGGAGTGTCACTCTGTCACCCAGGCTGGAGTACAGCGGCGTGATCTCTGCTCACTGCAACCTCCGCCTCCTAGGCTCAAACGATTCTCCTGCCTCAGCCTCCCAAGTAGCTGGGATTACAGGCGCCCACCACTATACCTAGCTAATTTTTGTATTTTTAGTAGAGACAGGGTTTCACCATGTTGGCCAGGCTGTTCTCGAACTCCTGACCCATGGTGATTTGCCCACCTTGGCCTCCCAAAGTGCTGGGATTACAGGTGTGAGCCACCACGCCAGGCCTGAAGCTGTTATTAATAACAGTAGCAACAATATGTCTTAAAAAAATAGCCTATGGGACTGGCATACATATCTAATATTCTGTCTAGCCTCTGGCCCTTCTCCTCTTTCTTATTTTCCTGGGATACATATGTCTCCTTCTTTTGAGAAATGTCTATCCACATCTAAGTTCCTGCAGGAGTAAGGGGCTACTAACATTCTTACACTTTCTCTTCCAGCACAGGTTTAGGCAAATATTGAGCTAAACAGAGTCCTTGCACAGAATATCACAAATTAGCCCTAAAGAAAGAATGGGTTTATCACTGTGGTGAAATGGAAGACGTACACCTGAGAGTTATTGTACTCTAAGATCCAGTACCTTAGAGGGGATCCATGTGAGAGAATTGAACCAGCATGCAAAAGGAACAGAGAGGAGGGTTGGGAAAAATTCTAAGGGGTTCATGTCTCTGATTCTAGTTTTCTCTGTGATGTATCCCTGCCCTTCATATGAGAAAATATATCCCCTTTTTAACTAAGCTTGTTAGATTTGGGGTTCTGTCACATGTAACTGAGATAACTGATTAGCCTGGGGACAAACACAAGGAAACCTCAAGGTGCTCAAGCTTGAGAGTGACCAAAATCTCTTTTGGACTTAGATGCAAATATTCTTAAGCAAACATGAACAAATGGAACCTAATAATATAGAAATGATAATATGTTACAAGTAACTGGAGTCTATCTCAGGAATGTGAGACATTGTTAACATTTTAAAAAATCAACCAATGTAATTTTCTATACTAACAAGATAAAAAAAAAATCTCGATAAATACAAAAAGACCTTTTGATAGACAGCACCCACTTCTAACTAAACAACAAAAAACTCTCAGAGAGCTAAGACTAGAATAAATCTTCCTCAACTTGAAAATGAATATCTACAGAAATTATACAACAAATATAATAGTAATGAAATGCTGAATACATTTTTTCTAAGGTCAGAAAAAAAAAACAAGTCCTCTTTAGCCATTTCTATGCAACTGTGCTAGGGGTCTAATCAGGCAAATGAGTCAAGATATAAATAAAAATTATTCCTTACTGAAAGGTAAAAAAGAAAATTGTATTTATTTGCAGATGACATGATTTTCTATATAAAAAATCTAGTGGAATCAAAAAAAGCTAATATAACTTACAAGTGATTATATTAAAAGTTGGAGGAACAAGGTAAGAACAAAAACATCAGCAACAACAAAAGACATGAACAGGCATTTTTCAAAAGAAGGCATAAAAACGGATAACAGGCATATGAAGAAAATGCTCAACATCGCTACTTATTAGAGAAACACAAATTAAAACAATGAGCTATCATCTTACTCTAGTAAGAATGGCTCATTAAAAAGTCAAAAAATATGCTGATGAAGATGTAGAGAAAAGGGAACACTTATACACAATTGGTGGGGATGTATATTAGTACAACTTCTATGGAATACAGTGTAGAGACTTCTCAAAGAACTAAAAATAGAACTACCATTTGATCCAGCAATCTCACTACTGGGTATATATCCAAAGGAAAAGAAACTATTATATTTTTTAAAAAATACCTGAATTTGTGTATTTATCACAGCTTTATTCACAGTAGCAAAAATATGGAATCAATCTAAGTGTCCATCAACAGAAGACTGGATAAAGAAAATGTGGTATATACAGACAATGGAATACTATTCAGCCATAAAAAGCATGAAATTATGTCTTTTGTAGCAACATGGATGGAATTGGAGGCCATTATCTTAAGTCTAACAAGTCAGACACAAAAAGACAAATAGTGCATATTCTCACTTATAAGTGGGGACTAAATAATTGTACACATGGACATAGAGCCTGGAATGATAGACAATGGAGACACAAAAAGTTAGGAGAGTGGGAGGGGAGGAAAGTACGAGAAAGTACTTACTGGATACATTGTATATTATTCAGATGATAGTTACACTAATAGCCCTGATTTCACCACTATACAACCTGTGTGTGTAACAAAATTACACTTGTACCCCCATAAATTTATACACATAAAAAAGTCAATTCTTTTCTAACATGCCAGCAATGAACAATTCGAATTTGAAATTTAAAATACAACTCCATTTATGTTATCACAAAAACAAAAACCCCACTTAGATGTAAATCTAACAAAATATGTATAAGATATATGAGAAAAACTACCAATCTTTGGAGATGGAAACCAAAGAGAATTAAGTAAATGGAGAGCTACTTCATGTTCATAAATAGGAAGACTCAATATTGTCAAGGTGTTAGTTTTTCCCAACTTTGTAGATTCATGTCAACCCCTATCTAAAATTCCAGCAAGTTATTTTGTGGATATCGACAAACATTCTAAAGCTTATGTGGAGACCCAAAAGACCAAGAATAGCCAATACACATATGTAAGAGAAGAACAAAGTCAAAAGCTGAAACTACATGAATTCAAGATTTACTGCAAAGCTACAAAACTCAAAGTGTGGTGTTAGCAAAAGAATAGACAAATAGATCAATGGGACAGAATAGAGAGCCCAGAAATAGATCCACACAAATATAATCAACTGATCTTTGACAAAAGAGCAAAGGCAATGTAATGGAGTAAAGGTAATTTTTACAGCAAAAGGTACCTGGAACAAATGAACATCCACATACTAAAATATGAATCTAGACACAGACCTTAGACCTTTCACAAAAATTAACTCAAAATGGATTTTGAAACTGAAAGTAAAATGCAAGAATTTAACACTCATAAAAGATAATTTAGAAGAAAATCTAGGACGGACGCGGTGGCTCACACCTATAATCCCAGCACTTTGGGAGGCTGAGGCAGGCGGATCATGAGGTCAGGAGATCGAGACCACCCTGGCTAACACAGTGAAACCCCGTCTCTACTAAAAATACAAAAAATTAGCCGGGTGAGGTGGCGGGCACCTGTAGTCCCAGCTACTCGGGAGGCTGAGGCAGGAGAATGGCGTAACCCGGGAGGCGGAGCTTGCAGTGAGCTGAGATCGCGCCATTGCACTCCAGCCTGGGTGACACAGCGAGACTCTTGTCTCAAAAAAAAAAAAAAAAAAAAAAAAAAGAAAGAAATCCAGATGACCTTGGGTTTGGCAATGATTTTTCTTAAATATAACACCAAATGCACAATTCATGAAAGACAAAATTGGTAAGTTGTATTTCATAAACGTTATAACCTAGTCTGTGAAAGACACTATTAAGAGAATGGAAATACAAGCCAGAGACTGGGAGAAAATGTTGGCAAAACATGTCTAATAATGGTATATCCAAAACATACAAAAAGTCTTAAAACCCAATAATAACTAATCAAACAAGCCAATTTGAAAATGGCCAAAAGATCTAAACAGACACCCCTCCAAAGAAAATATACAGATGGCAAATAAGCATACGAAAAACTGTTCTTGGTTGCTTCCAAATTTTTGCAATTATACGTAGTGCCAGAACTTGGAAGTAACCAAGATGGCCTTTATTAGGTGAATGTATAAACAAACTGTAGTGCATCCAGACAATGGAATATTATCAGTGATAGAATTAAAAGGAGTGATCAGCCATGAAAAGACATGGAGGGATCTTAAATACATACTACTAAGTGAAAGAAGTCAATCTGAAAATTATACATACTGTATAATTCCAACTTTATGACATTCTAGAAAAGGCAAAACTGTGGAGACAGTAAAAAAGGTCAGTGGTTACCAGTGGCTGAGGAGAGGAAGTAAGGATGAATAGGCAAAGCACAGGAGATTTGTAGGAAGTGAAATGATTCTGTTTGATACTATAATGGTGGATTCATGACATTATGGATTTGTGAAACCCATAGAACTGTAGAAGACAAGAATACACCCTCATGTAAACTATGGACTTCAGTACCTAATAATGTAACAATATTGGTTCTTTAATGGTAACAAATTTGCCACACTAATGCAAGATGTTAATAATGGAAAACTGTGTGTAAAAGGTGGTGATGAGAAGAATAGAATATGGGGAAATTCTTGGTACTTTCTGTTAAATTTTTCTTTAAACCTAAAACTGCATCTAAATGAAAAAGTTTATTAAGTAAGGAAAAGAAGCCAAGACATTGTTAATTCATTTTCAGCCCAAAGCAGAGTGATAGGAACCAGGTTTATCTTCCTACGTGAAATAACTGAAAAACTGGAAAATTATATAAAACATCAGCATTCAAGACATTGGACAATGGGTAATAAAGAAGAGTGACGCAAGACATGGAGAAAAGGGTGAGATGCGCTCTAGGATAGCAAAAGGGTATTGCTTACAGAGAGCTCTCACACCATGGCACAAGGAGAGAGAATATACATAGAACCTGGTGATATTCCTGAGTTGAGGGGATGAAGCTGGTTTCTGGGGAGGGCAAGGCAGCTAGAGTTCTCCAAAGACAAATATAATGAAACAATCCCTGGGGGATTACACAGACCAGGAATAGTTCTGTTCACAACAGAAATATTAGAAAAATAAAATAATTCATGCTACACCAAAAAGAATACTCAGCAGGCTTTTGCCTCAGGAGAGCAGAAATCCAGCCCCAGACAAACACTGCTCTGATATGGCCCAACAAAGCTTAAAAGCAAGCAAAAAAGTAACAACCTGTTTTAAAGAACTTTACTACAAGCTAGACCAGACTTGAAAAGTATTTAAAAGAGCGGGAGGAAGGGTGCAGGGAAAGACAGAACCCAACAATGTAAAGGCCACAATGGGCCACAATGGCACCCAATAAAAATTTACCAGGAATCCAAAAAAAGCAAAAAAAAAAAAAAAAAAAAAAAAAAAAAAGAGGGAAAAATTCAACCGATCAAAAACAACCCTAGAAGAGATCATAGAATCAGTAGAAAAAATGAATGAAACTGAAATAAGTGTAATTTATATGTTCAAGAAGCTGGAAAAAATATTAAGGGTTAAAAGTAGAAACAAATAAGATATAGAAAGACCACTCAGAGATTAAAACTGCAGCGTCTGAGATGACAAATGCATGGATGGGTTAGAAAACAGATGAGTCAGTAAACTTGAAGACATAATGATAGAAAACTCGAAACAGATAGGGGAAAAGAAAAACAAAACACAGTTTCAGTGATCACTGGGAAAAATCTATGGGTTTAGTATACATTTAATTAGAATCCTCCAAAGAGAGGAAAGAGAGTGAGGACAGAAAAATATTTAAGAGAATAATGGCCAATTCTTTTTCCGATGTGATAAATACTCTAAGTCTTCAGACCAGAAAAGTGCCATAAACTTTCAGAACCACAATAAGAAAAGAAAAAGAAGAAAAATAAACCAAGATACAGTATAACCAATTACTTAAAATTGGTGATAAAGAGAAAAATCATATAGCCATTTAAGAAAAAAAAAGAGAGAGAGAGTTTGGCCGGGCGTGGTGGCTCACACCTGTAATCCCAGCACTTTGGGAGGCTGAGGTGGGCAGATTACCTGAGGTCAGGAGTTCAAGACCAGGCTGGCCAACATGGAGAAACTCTGTCTGTACTAAAAATACAAAAATTAGCTGGGCATGGTGGTGAGCACCTGTAATCCCAGCAACTTGGGAGGCTGAGGCAGGAGAATCGCTTGAACCCCGGGAGGCGGAGGTTGCAGTGAGCCGAGATTGCACCACTGCACTCCAGTCTGGGCAACAGAGCGAGACTTTGTCTCCAGAAAAAAAAAAAAAAAATTACGAATGAAAGAATGCTTCTCATTGCAAGCCATGGCAGGCAGAACACAGTGGCATACAGAGAGGACAAAAAAAGAAAACCCTTTAACCTATAACTGTATGACCAGAAAAAAATAGCTTTCAAGGATGAAGGCAAAATAAAAATTATTCAGATGTAAAAAATGGCAAAAGGATTCATCAGCATCAGCCTTACACTATAAGGAGTAAAGGAATATCTGAAGGTAATGGGAAATAATGCTATCTGCACATATGTATCTATACAAAAACAAAGGACACTGGAAATGGTACCTGCATGTATAAATTTATTTTTTAATACTTTTTCTTAATGCTTATACAGCTTTAAAAGACATTTGACTGCTTTAAGTAAAAATAGCAACAATGAACTTTTCAGTTATGACAGGGAGACTGTTATAACAATTAGACTGTATGACAACAGGACAAAGCAGAAAATTGAAGTATTCTATTATAAAGTTTATACACTATATGTGAAGTGGTATAATTATCACACAAAAGTAGACTCTGACAATTTGAAGACGTATACTACAGACAATAAAAGTAGCTAACAACATAACAAAGAAATTTAGTTTATAAGACACTAATGGAGATAACATGAAACTATTAAAAATTTACTGATGCTGAAAGAGTCAGGAAAGGAAAACAAAGGTAATAAAGAACAGATGACACAAATAGGAAACAAAAAGCAAGACATTAGATTTGAAATCATCATGTTAACATTCATGTTAAATGTCAATCTAAATACACAGATAGAGAAGTAGATGTTGTCAGATTACATTAAAATCTATAAACTATGTAAACACATGAATGACGTGCTGCCTAAAAGAATTACACATTAAGTATACGAACATAAATACGGTAAAAGTCATAGGATGGAAAAGGATATATCATGTTAACCATAACAAAAGAAAGCTTGAATGACTATATTAACATCAGACAAGTAATGTCTGTAATTATTAAAAGGGATAAAGTGTCATTTCATAATTTCAAAAAAAGAATCAATACATTGAGAGAAGATAATACTTGCAAATACTTATGCACCTAATAACAGATTTTCAAAATAGGTAAAATCTGATACAATTGCAAGGAGAAATAGAGAAATCTACAATTATAGTTGGAGATTTCAACACCACCTTCTCAAAAAAATAGAATACAAATCAGAAAGGACATAAAGAACAATACTATTAACCAGCTTGACCTAATTGAGGTGTATAGCACACTCAACAGAAGCGGAATATGCAATCTTTCCAATTGCACACAGAATGTTTAATAAAATGAACCATTTTCTGGACCACAAATAAGACTCACTGGTATTTTAAAAAATTAAATTGTACAAAGTATGTTCTCTGACCCCAGTGGAATTTAATTAGAAATCAGTAACAGAGATATCTAAACGATCCCAGATATTTGGAAAATGTTTTAAACTTACCGATTTTTTAAAAGTAAATAAATAAAAATTGAAACTCAACATATGCAGGCCCTTGGGACACTGTTAAAGCAGTATTTAAATAGTAATATAAAGCAGCAAATGCCTATATTAGAAAAGAAGAAATACTTCAAATCAGTGATCTCAGTTTCTACCTTAAGAAACTAAAAAAGCAAATTAATTCCAAAGAAATTATAAGAAATTGCAAAGATCAGAGCAGACAACAACAACAAAAAAGAAAACAGAAAAATGATTTTAAAAATTAATGAAACCAAAAGCCATTATTTTGAGATCAATAGGACAAACTATGATCAACAAAAAAAGAGAGAAGACACTAATTACCAATTAAAAAAATGAGAAAGATGATGTTATCACAGATTCTATATATAGGCAAAGCATTAAAATGAAAATTTTTAATAATTGTATGCCAATAATTGACAATTTAGATGAAATGATTCCCTGAAAGATGTACACTACCGGCCAGGTGCGGCGGCTCACGCCTGTAATCCTAGCACTATAGGAGGCCAAAGTGGACATATCACTTGAGGTCAGGAGTTCGAGATCAGCCTGGGCAACACCATAAAGCCACATCTCTACTAAAACTACAAAAATTAGCCGGGCATGGTGGCACACGACTGTAGGCCCAGCTACTCGGGAGGCTGAGGGATGAGAATCGCTACTGGGAGGCGGGGGTTGCAGTGAGAGGAGATCGGGCCACTGCACTCTGCACTCCAGCCTGAGCGACAGAACAAGACTCGCCTCGAAAAGAAAAGAAAAGAAAAGAAAAGAAAAGAAAAGAAAAGAAAAGAAAAGAAAAGAAAAGAAAAGAAAAGAAAAACACTAACAAAGCACACTCAAAAAGGTACATATAAACTAAATGATGCCTTGGCTATTAAAAAAAAACATTATTTGGCTGTTTTATAAAATATTATTTGTAGAAAAGTGGCAAATTTTGTGGAGAAAAGGTGGTCTTTTTAATAAATGCTGCTGGAAAAATTGGATATTAATATGCCACAAATGAACTTTGATATTTATACCTTATGAAGAAAAATCAGTGATGGTTCATACACCTAAATAAGCCAAAAAACACAGAAAACCTTTTTGACCTTGAGTTAGGCAAAAATTTCTTAGATACAACACCAAAAGCATAAACCATAAAAGAAAAAGTTGATAAACAAGACTTAATTTCATAATTTCTGTTCGTCAAGAGGCATCGTTAAATATTGTAAAAAACAAAACACAGATGGAGAAAATATTTGCAAATCACATATCTGAACAAACCATTCTGTCCCTAGATATTTTCCTAACTAAAGGATATATCTGTACTAAGCTTATATCTGAATGTTCATAGCAGCTTTATTTATAATAGCTAAAAAGTTGAAACAATCTTAACATCTATGAACAGGTGAATGGATAAACAAATTGCAGTAAACCCATGCAAAGGAACACCATTCAGCAATAAAAACTATAAACTATTGATACACTATACACTGTAATTTGGATGAATCTCAAAATAGTCATGCTGATTCAAAGAAGCCAGACCCCTTTCCCCAAAAAGTATAATCCCATTAATATAAAATTCTTAAAATGGCAAATTAGTGTATAGTGACAGAAAGCAGATCAGTTACTACTTGGGGACTGGGATAGAGGGGTAGTTATTTACAAATCGGCAGGAGGTTTCTTTTGGAAGGGATGGAAATGTTCCATACCTTGATTGTAGTGATGGTTTCACAGGTGTATGTGTATGTGTGTTTGAGAGAGAAAATTTGTTAGTTTCTACATCTTAAATAGGTGCAATATATTGTAGGTCCACTGTGAATCAATAAAGCTTTAAAAAACAAACAGATAATTTTCTCAGAGAAGAAAAGTGAGAACTGATCAATTTAATGGACTCACTAGCATAATTTCTGATGGAGGTCAAAGAATAATTCAAAATGAGAAGATCTTAAAAAGTAAATAGATAAATAAATTAAGAAATAGATAAGTAGGTATAACAATAATAGCTAGTATTTATTATTCAGTTAACATGCAACAGGCATTGTAATAGCCTGTACACCTAGTGGTAGCATAGTTGACTGTTGACAGCTCACAGTTGAGTCCCTCTCTACTATTCCTGTCTGTTTAAGGAAGCTGTCTACCCAAGGCTATGGTTTCTTCCTGGGGAGTTACCTATATCCAATGACTGGTCCAGGTAATACTGCAAAGAACCACACCCTTGCTTTATTGGAGGCACCTGAAGATATCCCAGCTCCAGGGTTCTCTGTGGAATCATCTGCCACTTCTGTTGCAGACCAGTTCAGCCTCTCCCTCTACACAAATCTCAAATTTCCTAGAGTCCTTCAAATCTTCCTAGCTGTTGATTCCCTGAAATTTCTCCAACTAACCCCTTGTATCCAAATCCCAGAGGCTCAGAATCCATTTCCCATGGAATCAGACTTGAGATAGTTGATTATCTTATTTTATCTACCGAACAACTCTCTCAGACATGTGCTATTTGTATCTATGTTTTACAAGTGAAGAAAGAGTTGAAGTTAGAAAATTTATGTAACTTATCCAAGATCACTAGGACAATAGTTGGAGGAACTGATTAAAACAAACAAACAAACAAAAAACGGGCCTTTATAATAAAAAAACTATACAGTCTCATGGAGGTGGTTTTATTAAGAATGAATCATTAAAATCCATCCTAATGTCTTCTTGATAGTATTTTCAAGTTGGCAGATCAAATAAATGCTGAAGGCATAGTTTATCTTGTTACATCAAATATCTCTAATAATAGCTCTATAAGTAGAAGGTGAAATGAGATATAAATAATGGTATGGATGGATGAATTAACAGCTAGTTGTATCGCTGTACCCAATAAGTGTTGATTAATAGGGCCATGTAAAAGTAGCCTGTGTATTTTTCGAGGGCAGCATATTGTTAATGACTACACAGGCCTGCCGCATATATAGCTCTGATAAATGCTTGTGGAATTTAATTGAAGCCTTAGGGAGTCCCTGATAGATTGCCATCAAACCCTGTTCTTGTCTTACATGATATTTATGTCAGTGAATTGAATAGAGCCTGCAATCATAATTATACAATCCGCTCTAACTGCTCCATCAAAACCATGCTGATAAAATACACATTAAAGGAAAATTCTAAGATATCAAACTCATTAATATTTTTTAAACATTTGATGAGCAGCCACTATGTAATAGAACCTCTCCTATGCACTGAAGCCACAAAAATGATGAAAATGCTTCTGATTATGTGGTAGAAGACAACGTCCAGTAGATTTCAAGTGAAGTGCTAAATTAACTTTTTAAAAATTTAGGATAATTGGTCAAGGTGTTTGTTGGCATTGGGGTGATTATACATTTATGGAAAACCCAACAGTAGAATATTGCTATCAGAACAATCTGAATCAAAGTTTTTCTGGGTTAATAGAAACACAATGTCTAGATCACTCAAAGGTAGAATACCCAGCTCTATTCTGATCTGGGAAGACCACATCTACAGTACCATATTCAATATGAGCACCACATTAAAACATCACAGCCAACATTTAAAAAATGACACATACGCTAGCAATTACCCAGACTGAAGCAACCAGAACACTCTGGCATCTGTGCTCTAGGGAAAATAAGTGAAGGGATAAAGATTAACTTTAAGAAATGAAGCCTAAGAAAAGTCATAATCCATTCACAACAGTTGCTATGTCAAAGAGAGGGTAGGCTTGCCCTTTGACGCTTCAGCAAAAAAAGGGTAAAAAAATCACAAGGAGCACATTTTGGTTTTACCTAAGAAAGAACTTTGTAACACCTATACCAATTTTAAAAGATGAGTCTTCTCTCTCAAGACAGGGTGAGTTTTCTCTTCCATGAAAAAAATATATATATATATATATGTTATATATAATATATTATATATTATATGTTATATATATTATATGTTATATATTATGTTATATATAATATATATTATATGTTATATATAATATATATTATGTTATATATAATATATATTATATGTTATATATAATATATATTATGTTATATATAATATATATTATATGATATATATTATATATCATATGTTATATATAATATATATCATATGATATATATTATATATCATATGATATATATTATATATTATATGATATATATTATATATTATATGTTATATATAATATATGTTATATAATATATGTTATATACAATATATTGTATATGTTATTATATAGTTATATGTTATATATATTATGTTATATATTGTATATTACATGTGTTATATATATTATATATTATGTATGTTATATATTATATATGTTATATATTATATATTATATACAATATATTGTATATGTTATATATATTATATATGTTATATGTTATATATATGTTATGTATTGTATATTACATATGTTATATATATTATATATTATGTGTTATATATTATATAACATATGTTATATATTATATATTATATATGTTATATATATTATATATATATTTTTTGAGATGGAGTCTCGCTCTGTCACCTAGGCTAGAGTGCAGTGGCGTGATCTTGGCTCACTGCAACCTCTGCCTCCCGGGTTCACTCGACTCTCCTGCCTCAACCTCCCTAGTAGCCGGGGCTACAGGTGCCCGCCACCACACCTGGCTCATTTTTTGTATTTTTAGTAGAGACGGGGTTTCACCATGTTAGCCAGGATGGTCTCCATCTCCTGACCTCATAAGCCACCCGCCTCAGCCTCCCGAAGTGCTGGGATTAGAGGCATGAGCCACCACGCCCAGCCCATGAAGTGAATTTTTGAAAGAAGCTGCATAATGTTTGTTGAGCTCAATAATAATGAGATTTTTTCTACTTCTAAAAAACAGAGACCTTTTGCTTGAGAATAAGCCATTTCATAAAATAGAATGTCATGTTGGTTTTTTAAACAGATTTTATATATCTTGAAATAATGCATGTAATTTATTTCTTATAATGATATACTTGTTCCCCAGAATGTATTCAGATAAACATAATGAGAAAATAGAATTCAAAGTGCAACAAACTTTCTGGAGTAGGGTCCAACAAATTGATCTTATACCTTATTCTATTTATTTGAAAACCTGAGGTTATTACCAATACCATAACAATAATTCCCTACCATATATATATATGTTAGTCCTTGTCTCATGATATCACTATGCCACATAATGTACAGTGTCATTTGAAATCTTAGAGGAATATCTACATACCTTGAATTAAGGGAATATAGATCTACTATAGGCACTATTTTTGGTGTCAATTTAATGAATTAAAATAGAAAGAGCAAAATATATAAATATATTACTATGTGTAACATAAACATGATTTGTACTTTTTTTTCTTCATTGGCCAAAAGATAAAATAAGACAAACATACTTTATAATTTTTAATGTTTTCCAGCCAGATAATTATCAATGGTTATGAACATTGGGAATGTTATTGAAACCATAAAAATATTTTTGCATTATCTGTTGCCTAAAGAGACTTAACATCCATTCTTTTCACTAACATCCAAAGCAGAAGCCCTTACTGTTCTAAACAAAATAAAATGGTAAAAACCAATCATGTGAACAAGGCAGAGTCCTGACTAGTATATAGAACAGTGACCCCTGTCCGGAAATCATTTTTAAAAAATAAAATGACAGTGATTTTTATAAAGTTAATGCTTCTATTTATTTATTTGTACAGTGTTAGTGGGTCTAAGTACAATTTTGTTATATTGATGTACTCAATAGTGGTGAAGTATGGCCTTTTAGTGTAGCCATCACCCAAATAGTGTACACCGTACCCATTAAGTAATTTATCTTCCCCCACCTGCTCCCAACCCTTCCACACTACTGAGTCTCCAATGTCCATTATTTTATACTCTGTGTCCATGTGTACACATTATTTAGCTACCACTTGTAAGTAAGAACATGCAGTATATTATTTTCTGTTTCTGAGTATTTCACTTAGGACAATGTCTCCAGTTTCATCCATGTTGCTGAAAAAGACATAATTTCATTCTTTTTATGGCTGAGTAGTATTCCCTGGTGTATATGTACCACATTTTATCTAACCATCTGTTGATAGACACTGAGGTTGATTCCATATGTTTGCCATTGTGAATAGTGCTGCAATAAATAAACATGCAAGCCAAGGTATTTTTTGATATAATGATTTCTTTTCCTTTGTGTATATACCCAGTAGTGGGATTGTTGGATCAAATGGTAGTTGTATTTTTACTCTTTGAGAAATTGCCATATTGTTTTCCATAGAGGTTACACCAATTTACATCCCCACCAATGGTGTGCAAGATTTCCCTTTTCTCAATGTCCTCACCAACATCTGTTATTTTTTGTCTTTTTAATGCCAGACATCCTGACTGGTATAAGATGGTATCTCATTGTGGTTTTAATATGCCTTTCTGATGACTGGCTGCATTGAACACTTTTTCATATGCTTGTTGTCCATTTTAATGCCTTCTTTTGAAAAATGTCCGCTCATATCCTTGCCTGCTTTTTAATGAAGTTATTTGTTTTTACATGTTGAGTCATTTGAGTACCTTGTAGAGTCTGGATATTAGTCCTTTGTCAGATGTATAGTTTGCAAATATTTTTTCCTATTCTGCAGGCTGTGTGTTCACGCTGTTGAGATATGTGTGTGTGTATATATATATGGACACACACACACAGCTTTTTAGTTTAATTAAGTCCCATTTGTCTATTTTTGGGTTTTGTTGCATTTGCTTGTTAGGTCTCACAGTGATTAGTAAGGTCAAACAGCAGACATTTTTCTAAGAATAGACATTAACTGTAAAATACATATATTCTCAATTTGTAAAGAAACCAATGATCCATTATATGCAACTATCAACTCTTCAAACATTGGTCTTTTAACAGGAATCAAACAATGTGTTATAATTCTAGGACAAGGAGCTAACTAAAGAACAGAAAGTTGTGATTTCCACTGTAGAGTATCATGTTAGAAAAGGAAAATATGGAGAAATAAAACCAGCATTTTATAAGTTAAATCTTAGGAAAACAAAATGAACCAACCAATGGAGGATGATTTGCAGGAAGAATTTTGATGAAACTGTACAATACCAGGAGGTGGAGGTTGCAGTGAGCAGAGATCACACCATTGCACTCCAGACTGGGCAACAGAGTGAGACTCCATCTCAAAAAAAAAAAAAAAAAAAAGAAAGAAAGAAAAGAAAAGGAAAGAAGGAAAGGAAACTGTACAATAACTTTTAGCAATGATCAAATTTCAAATCACTATCAACATCTTGATGACAAATATAAATGAAGCTCCTATTATATGCAAGCATTATACTAAGTACAAGAATAAAAAGAGATTTAAGAAATGTTCCCTGTTGCTATTGAGCTTAAAGTTTAGCAATCAGGGACAGGAGATCAACTTCACCATGCACGCTACAATTAATCTGTGATGGCTTTCTGGAGTGTTGCATAGTAAAACAATCTGATCTAATACCAAAGCTTTACAGAAAAGGAGACCATTTTTTATTTATTGAAGTTTGCCATTGCCATGGGAGAGAGTAGTGAACTGCATGGATAGGCAGCATGCGTAATGATTAAAAGCACAGGCTCTCGAGCCAGGGAGCCTGGCATAAGAAAAAATAAGCATAGGCTGGGTGTGGTGGCTCACGCCTGTAATCCCAGCACTTTGGGAGGCTGAGGAGGGCAGATCATGAGGTCAGAAGATCAAAACCATCCTGGCCAACATGGTGAAACCCCGTCTCTACTAAAAATACAAAAATTAGCCAGACATGGCAGCACACGCCTATAGTCCCAGCTACTCAGGAGGCTGAGACAGGAGAATCACCTGAACCCAGGAGGTGGAGGCTGCAGTGAGCTGAGATTGTGCCACTGCACTCCAGTCTGGGCGACAGAGCAGGACTCTGTCTCAAAAAAAAAAAAAAAAAAAAGAAAGAAAAAGAAAACGTAAGTATACTAGCATGTACTAATAATTACAGACATGTTCATGTTTATATACAGACATATATAGAGGGTGAGATAAGGATAAACCTATTGCAATGTGTGTGATGTACAGATAGACGATAGATCACACCAAGATAAATTAATTTGCACCAGAACACTAATGGAAGATTTCAACGAAAACATGGAAACTAAACTGGTGTAGAGGAAAGGCTAGAAACTAAATAAGTGAAGTGGAAATTACAAACCAAGTGGGCCAGGCTGAGTAACAGCAATAGTTAGGCTACTCCAAAGCAAAGCCATATGATCTGTGATTTTCATTTTTATGACAGACCACTTTGGATGAAGTAGAAGTTTCTTAAAAGAGCCATGGAGAAGACAGAATGCAAGGACAAGGACTGTGGACACTTTTTTATGCTTGGACTTTATTTTGTACTTTAGGGAATAACAGATATTTCTTGAACACAGAAGTGTTATATTTTAGCGCGGCTCTCAAGGGTTTATAGGAGACCTTCCAGAAGTTCAAAGAAAAAAGCAGTCACCTAAATAGAATTCTTGCACATATCTTCCAAAAATTTATACAAAACGAGAAAACGATATGTTTTGCCAAAATAACAAGAATTTGAGTTTAAAAATGGGAGGAGAGAAAGGGGCAGCCAGGACCTGGTGCTTCAGGGCTTTCTATTACTCCAGACTTCATTCAGAAACTGCAGACTCAATTGGTTACTTCTGGCAAATGGGCCACAACAGCACACATCAAATATAGTATGTGTTGCATCCATGAGGAATTATTAGCCGTTGGCTCTTGGCTCTGAGTTGACACTAATTTCCAGGAACTCAAAATCCCACCCACTTTTGTTCACAAGAGTGAGGAATTTGGAGCTCAAATATATTTGAAGTCTTGCAAATAGTTTACCTTACAATGAGTCCAGTAGACCTGAGGGACCATTCTGAGTTTTATTTTTTGGAAAAGCGTATTACACAACTGTCAACATCTCTAAGCTGTGTGTGTGTGTGTGTGTGTGTGTGTGGACTGCTAGAGTAGAAATGGCCAAGAGCAAATGCCCCTCCAAGAACCCTGAATAAAACAAAACTAACATGATATACATTTCTGGAGAATTCTCAAGATTAATTCCAAAAGTAAAGAACTGAAAGATGCAGTCATGTTAGTTCTTATCATATCCCTGCATAAGTCAACTCTGGCTAATACAGGGGCTTAATGGATCCTGGAGGGTGACAGTAGATTCTCATAAACTTAATTAGAGAGTGATGCCAATCACAGCTCCCATTGCAAATATGGAATCTTTACTGGTGCAAATTATCAGAGGCCTTGCACCTGGTATCTATTTATGCACCTATTGAGCTATTGAGTGCTTTTTTCCCGATATCAATTAATAAACACAATCAGAAGAAGATGACCAATGACCTTTATCTGACTGGAGCAATAGTACTCCCTCTCTGTCTTATCTCAAGGTTATTTATATTCTCTTCATCTGTTACAATATAGGCTACAGAGACATCTCATATTCCAGAAAACATCATGCTAGCATTTTACATGATTGAATTCATGCTAATTAGACCTGATGACACAGTATTCTGCTAGTAAGACACACACATGTTGGCAGGTGATAGACAATTCCCATGAAAAGACAGGGGCCTACCATGTTAATAAAATTGCTAAAGTTCAGTGTTCTAAAACATGTCAAAATATCCTTTGTGAAAGATAAGTAGCAATAGGGCCAGGTATGGTGGCTCGTGCCTGTAATCCCAGCACTTTGGGAGGCTGAGGCAGGTGGATTACTTGAGGCCAGGAGTTTGAGACAAGCCCGGCCAATATGGTGAAACCTCGTCTCTCCTAAAAATACAAAAAGTAGCCGGGTGTGGTGGTGCATGCCTGTAATCCCAGCTACCAGGGAAGCTGAGGAAGGAGAATCACTTGAGCCTGGGAGGTGGAGGCTGCAGTGAGCTGAGATTGTGACACTGCACTCCAGCCTGGGTGACAGAGGGAGACCCTGGAAGGAAGGAAGGGAAGGGGAGAGGAGGGGAAGGGAAGGGAGGAGAAAGGAGGGCAAGGGAGGGGAGGGAAGGAGAGGGGAGGGGAGCGCAGGGGAGGGAGGAGAGGGTGAGGGGAGGGCAGGGGAGGGGAAAGAAGGGGAGGACAAAGGAGTGGAGGGGAGGGGAGGGCAGGGGAGGGAGGGGAAGGGGAGGGGAGGTCAGGGGAGGTCAGGGGAGGGAGGGGAGGGGAGAGGAAGGGAGGTGGAGGGAGGGGAAGGGGAGGGGAGGGAGGAAGGGAGGGAGTGAGGGAAGATGTAGCAAGGTAATGTTTTTAGTGTTGCTGAACATGTTGAACATAAAAGATTAATTCCAAAATGTCCATCTCACTAAACGTTTTAATATCTTCCTTTATGGCAGAGGTCAGTAAACTTTTTCTATAAAAGGTCAGATAGTAATTTTTTTTTAGAGAGACAGGGTCTCACTCTGTCATCCATGCTAGAATGCAATGGTACAATCACAACTCACTGTGTCTTCCAGCTCCTGGGCTCAAATTATCTTCCACCTCATCATCCTGAGAATCTAGGACTACAGACATGTATCACCACACTCAGCTTTTTAAAATGTTTTTTAGAGATGGGGTCTTGCTGTGCTTCCCAGGCTGGTCTTGAACTCCTGAACTCAAGTGATCCTCCTGTCTCAACCTGTCAGAGTGTTGGGACTACATGCACCACTCTGAGTCCCAGATAGTAAATATTTTATATTTGTGCACTATAGTCTCTTTTTTGCAACTATTCAACTATGCCATTGTAGCATGAAACAGCCATGGACAAGTAATGAATGGGGTGTCTCTGTTCCACTGAAACTTCATTGAGAGTGAGTAAACCATATTTGGCCTAAGAGTCATAGTTTGTTGAACCTGTCTTTATGGTGTGCCAAAAATTTCAGTATCCAAGCTTGTTGATTGTAGAGTCTATGTTTAAATTAACTAGTTCCTCCCATTGGGAGAAACAGAAGCCGACCAAAAGAGAACTGTATCCCTAGTCTCACCTAATGGGGTGCACTATCATAAAATGTAGAGACCGCATTTCAATACTTAATATTCTGTAACTATGGAGTATTAAATCTCAAGATTTTTTTTTTTTTTTTTTTTGAGAAGGAGTCTTGCTCTGTTGCCCAGGCTGGAGTGCAGTGGTGCGATGTCGGCTCACTGCAAACTCCGCCTCCCGGGTTCAAGCCATTCTCCTGCCCCAGCCCCCCCCGAGTAGCTGGGACTACAGACACCCACCACCACACCCAGCTAATTTTTTTTTTTTTGTATTTTTAGTAGAGACGGGGTTTCACAGTGTTAGCCAGGATGGTATCGATCTCCTGACCTCGTGATCTGCCCGCCTTGACCTCCCAAAGTGCTGGGATTACAGGCATGAGCCACCACGCCCGGCCTCAAGATTCTTAACGTACAACATTCTTACAGAATAAAAGCATGCACACACACATAGAGAGACAATACTGTGCTATTCAACATTGAGGAATACACTTCCAAGACATTTCCTCAAAATTTCAGTTCCTTCTGCTTTACAGCAAGGTGGACCTTTTAAAAAGGAACTTTACTTCCTGAGATGACACTATAAAATATGCTGCGACTTTGCAAAAGCAATAATAATTTCTCTTCAATTTCATGAATACAAACAGGCAATTTCTATAATCCTTCACGCCCTCACTACCCTCCAAATAAAATTGTTCTCATATTCATTGTTAGTAATTTAACAATTACATTCAATGAGTATTTAGTTGATTGTGTTTCCTTTGTTATCTTGCTTATCAGTGTTGTCCAACTTAAACTACAAGTACAGATCAGATCTGAAACTTACATCTCTTTATATCGCATTGACTGCAACTGATACTTAGAATACTGCTCAGAACGATTATTAATACAGACTAGGTGATTGTGATTTTCTGTGGCAGGGACCTCTCAACATGACAAAAGGGGAAGACAGGTCATTATTCAACCTCTAGACAGACCTTACAATACTTCAATCATTCCCAGACAGGTAAGAAATCCCTTTCCCCATTTCTGCTGGGGATATTGTGGCTTTCTTATTACTTCTTCTTTAAAGGCAATAATTTCTCTGATGCACTCCATGTCATCATTACTGTCTGAGTAGTGATTTCTTTAGTTAATCACTCATTGGTTATATTTCTTTAGTGTAACAGAGAAATAACTCCAATCCAATGCAGAAATAAAAACTTGTTTACTTTTATTTGGGTTAAAACAATATACGTTTTTGTCTAATTCTGATTGTTTGAAAGAAACAACCGAGAAAGAGGTCCTATGAGATCGGGTTTGTGCTAAATAAGAAAATTATGAACAAGAATTCTACTTCCTGTTAATGCATCACGTTCAATTCCGTTTATACATATAAGGCTAACAATTTGTTACTCATACCGATCTACTCTACGTAATGCTAAGGAACCCTTGCTATTATAACTCATTTTGTTTTTGATTTAATGATTTTTTTCCAACCAAGTATCGAGAGTCAAAAATCTTTTGTCCCTGCTCCTTTTATTTATGATTTGGGTGATTTAGGCAAATCACTCTCCCTGCCCAGGACTTACCTTTCCACCTACAAAAGGAAGAGATTGTTGTAAATGTCCATGTTATGATACTTTCTAAATTCATGAACTCCCTTCACTAATATTAAACTACTTGTTCTTTCCTGCAAAGTTTATCATGTCTGCGTATAAAATGAGAAGAATTATTTAAGTTGTGATTAACATAATCATTGTTTTGCCTTGTTTTTCTTACTCGAAGATAATTCATTTAGATCCTTCACTGCATTCTGTTTTTTTAATAATGTAAGGATTTACTCAACAATGCTGACCATATCATCTCCTTGCACTTCTTTCATTTCCATAATATTACATTATATCTCTAACTATGACTATTTTTTAAGTCTCTTCTTCTGGCTCCTAATCTACTCTTCCTGTAAGTACCTGTATTTTTCTGGGTTCTGGCTTAAATTTTATTTTCTATTCCTTGCACACAATCCTCCTGGCAGGCCTTTCACGTGGTTTGGAGTGCGGTCTGCACACTGACAACTGCAAATCTGCATCTCTGGCCCTCATCTCTCCGGAGTCACACCTCTCCTGTTGCGGTGCTTAGTGTCTCACATCAGATGTGCTGTAAGACACGTAAACTACTCCCTGTCTGATGCTGAACTCATCATATTTTCCCAAATTTCTGCTTCTTCTCTATTGTCCCTATTCTTATTAAATGTCATGTCATTCATCCAACTGCTCGAGCCAGAATCCTGGAAGTCATCTTTAAATCTTCCCACTTTCAATTCCTGCATCCATTGAATTTCTCTGAAAAATGTGTCAGTGTGATAAGTTAAAAGTTAAATAGCTTTGCTTATTTTTTTTTCACAGTGTAACAGACTCCTGTGGACAAAACCCCAACCCAAACAGAACATAAGATTTGGCCCATGTGAATACAAATTCATGAATTCATTTCAAAAAGGTACAATTTACATTTATATAGTATATTCTCTGAATTTGAAATTTACTTCCAGACTAAAACTAGCGAGGTGATCTGAGTGAACGCTTATTCTGTTCTTTGGCTATATTTTCTTTAGTTAGTTTTACAGGGAAATCAATCCAATCCAATCCAGAAGTAAATACGTATTCCCTTTTATTTAAGTTAAACAGTATACATTTTGGTCTAACTGGTTGTTTAGAAGAAACAATCCAGGAAGAGGTCGTATGAGATCAAGGTCTGTGCCAAATAAGAAAGTTATGAACGAAAGTTCTACTTCCTGTTAATGCATCACATTCAATTCCCTTTATACTTATAAGGCTAATAATTTGTTACTCATACTGATCTACTCTATGTCACGTGACTGCAGAAATGGAAACAATTACAAATGAAGCTTTGGACTATGACACCATCTCCCTTTACCCTGTTTGAACTTTTATTTTTCCTCCACTTTTTGTTAAGTGACCTCATCAGAAAAATATTTACAATAGTTCCTTCCCCCTAATTCGGAGTTGTACTTACCTGCTCTCATCCAAGGTCCAGAATTATTAAATGAAAAATTCCAGAGATAAACAACTGACACGTTTTAAATTTTCTGCTATTCTGAGTAACATGACAAAATCTCATGTCATCCTCCTCCACCCTTCATCCCTCCCACGAGGTGAATCACCACTTTGCCCAGCATGTCTACCCTGAACACGACCTGGTCGTTAGGTATTTAGCAGCCATCGCAAATAGATCGACTGCTGTGGTATCACAGTGCTTGTGTTCAAATAACCCTTATTGAACTTAATTGTTTATTAGTTTATTCATGATTATTGCTAATCTCTTGCCGTGCCTACCTAATAAAATAAATTGAATCATAGGTGTGTGTATAGAGAGACCAAAACATACTATATATAGGGTTTAGTACTACCCTAAGTTTTAAACATCCACTGTGGGTGTTGGAACATATCCCCTGAACATAAGGGGTGACTACTGTACATAAGAACATAAATAAAAATGCTTTTAAGTATACAAATTGCAGCCACAATGAACAGAATTTTGGATTTATTTTTATTTTTATTTTTTACAAAGTCTTACTATGTGCCAATGTTAGGTACTCTTCTAAGTACTTTATAAGTATTGATTTATTTATTCCTAAAAATAAGCATATAAAATAGATGCTTATAAAGTCTGTAAAATGGAATATTGCCCATTTTAGATATTAAGAAATCAACTACCAGAGAAGCAAATTACCTAACATCACATTACCAATAAGTAATTTGGCTGGAATTAAAACCCAGGTGGTCTGGCTGTAGAGTACATGCACTTTATCACAATGCCAGAATCACAGCACTGTTTAACCTGACTTCAATCGGATTTAAGGTCAAACAACACATGCTATATTTTAGGGGAAGTTTTCAGGAAAGCCAATGTATTTTATATGAATTTTTGTGTGTACAGTGAAGCAGTATAAAAATCTTCACAACCTGCATGCAAATCTCCTTTCTACTAGACACAGGAGAAATGGTTTCCCTGCTATCCAAGTATCTGTCAGAAATTAGTTCCTGGAAGATATACTTCTGTCTTAAATTTAACTTCAACAAGATCAAGGTGATATTCAAAGATGAGAAGATTATTTAGAAGTGACTCAGGACATAATAGAACTAGACATGAAATATAGAAGAGGTTTCTGAAAAGCCTCACAAAAAAGAGAAATTTTGTCCTAAAAAATAAAAATATTTGGAAACACAGAACACAGAATACATGTATTAATGATGTGCAAAGAAATCTGTGGCACTACATGATATGTTCATAGGCAGAACCTGGCCAGGTGGTTTTAAATGAATCTGGGGAATATTTTTATAAATATCAAGTGTGTTTGGATGGGCTGTGAAAGACATCCACATGAGAACATTTATGTGAAGGCAATTATTTTAACATATGTTCTTAATGTCAGCACATACCCCAAATCAAAAGAATCTTAGGGATGATATTCCAATTTTGAAATTTTGAAAATTATTTCTTACTCTTAAATAGTTAGTTTAGATTTCTCTACACCACTTTACAAGAGCTAGGATCGTTTTCTAAAATGTAAGCAAGACCATCATTTAAGTAATAATATGCTGAAGGAAGGAAATTGGTAGAATGTAATTACACATACATACTTAAAATTAATTATAAAATATTAACTAAAATTACTGTGATATCATTATGGTTAAGCAGTAAGGTTTGTACAAACTGGAGAGGTAGAATTGCATGGCTTTTATTTACTTGATGTTTTCTTTTAGCTAATATCTTTGCTAAATAAACAAAGTTAGCTAAACTAGACACTTTAGATGTACTTCTTTTCGTTTTTTTTGTTTGTTTGTTTGTTTTTGTGTGTTTGGTTTTTTGAGACAGAGTCTCGCTTTGTTGCCCAGGCTGGAGTGAAGTGGTGCGATCTTGGCTCACTGCAACCTCAACCTCCCGGGTTCAAGCAATTCTCCTGCCTCAGCCTCCCGAGTAGCTAGGATTAGAGGCATGTGCCACTACACCGGACTAATTTTTATATTTTTAGTAGAGACGGGAATACCATGGCACTTTAGATGTATTTCATCTCTATCAAATAAATTTTAAAAGAGCCAGATTAAAATCATTCAGTTCCTTACTGATAGCTTGTAAAATCACCCAAACTCTCTTGTTATTTCTACTCAGAGACTCATTACCATCTCCTAAATGTCACTCTTGTAATTTCTGTAACTGCCACCAAATGGTTGGTGGCTCCTTGCTTTACACACAAAAACACAGATGACTTATTTTTCTGTCTGTATGAGAGCTTAAGAATAGTGAGACAAGCTCACTATTGATTCAGCATTGCCTATCTTATGAAATATAATAATACCAAGTTAATAAACTGCAAGGTTTGACTAAACTCAGGCATAAATTTAACTCAGAAATATCTCTGCAGAGAATTTCAAAATAGATACCTAATTTTAGTTAAATATTATTGACCATCAATAATTATTTAGATTACCACTAAATAAGGCTATACTCAGTAAGTTTGCTGGTAATTTATTCACACTTCTTTTAAGGAACTGATCACTTACACTGTGATCACTCTGAAAGCAACCTCTTAGATCACCTGATATTACATTCTCTTAACAGGCCTTGTGAGAAGGCTTGGCATATAGCAGATTCCTAACACATATGTTTGTTCAACCCAACATTTATTAAGTGTGTGGTACTGGCCTGACCCACTTTCTAAGCATAGGACCACTGAAGTGTCTCCGTCTTCAAAAAGCTGTCTAACACAGCCTATCGATATAGTGTAATAGATCTATTTTCTGCAGGACTATGCATAAAATCCTGGGAGAGTACATAGAAAGTACATCTACCTAAGGCAGAAGAACAGGCAGCACCTTCAAGTACTTCTGTTACATGGGCAATAGGATGAAGAAGTGAGCAGCATGAGCAAAGTTATTGAAGTATGCTAGAAAATAATGCTCAAGGTCTTAAGCAATTTAATAGGTAAAGGTTAGAGTACATGAGGGTGGTAGAAGGTCAGAATAGAGTTATAGAAGAGGCATGGTAAAAGACTGGAGCAGTGGATCCAGACAAATTTTGCACAATATTGAAGAGTTTGATTTTTATCAGGAAGTCTAGGAGAATTAGCTAAAAGGCATTAAGTAGTGAAGTAATAGGATTGATTGGGACTTTGGAAATAACTTCTCGACAACAATGTATAGATTGAATTGAAGGAGACTGTAGGATGCTACAGAGACTCTGGAAAAAGCAGCCTAAATTACAGCAATGGCAATAGGAAAGGAAAAAGAACATATTAAGAGATACCGTGGAAATGAACTATATGAGATCTCAAACTGGTTATGAAAACAGTGAGGGAATGGAAGAGCCACTTATATCTCCCAAGAGTATGACTTGGTCAACTGCGTGGACCCTGGTGCCATTCACCAGAGTAAAGGATATGAGAAGAGGAGTAAATTCAGCAGAGGGCAAGAGAAAAAAGGAAACCTTGATGATATCTCAGTGTGCTGAGTTCAGTTAGGCCTTGATAACTTCTGGAAACAAGGGACAGCATAGAACAGTGGTTAAGAGAGCAGTGTTTCTGTAAAATGGGGTGATTATAATAGTTCCTGTCCCCTAGGAATACTGTGAGTAGTATATGTAGGAAAGGCTCACGAGACATGGCCTGATGTGTAAATGTTCTCTAATCATATTATTCATTGTTGTTGTCTGTATCCAATTGGAGACACCCAGTCAATTTAAAGTGGGTGCTAAAGCCCAGTGGAGAAATATGGCCCAGAGAAAGAAATTTTGGAATAATCCTCAAGGTGGATAGTGTTTCTCAACCATAATTGTTCTTCAGAATCATCGGAGCATTAGATAATGCTGTTACCTAGGCTTTTTTCCTGGTAATTCTGAACAGCCAGCAATGAAAACACAGTTCAGATGGAGGTGGAAGATGGAATCATTTACCAGGTGAGATCTCCCAGGAAGAGTGAGCAGAATAAGGGATCTTTATATTCAAGGTTTCCAGACCAAAGTCATCTTTCTAACAAGACCAACTCTTTCTCCAGAATCCATGGTTTTATTTATCATAATAGGACTGTGTGTGGTCCAATGTGAACCACAACATCATGGAAAAATCTGGAGATCCTGGAGTCTATTGTTTTGCACTGCCTTTAATGAGATGTGGGGCCAGGGGAATGCTTGACAAAGCCAGTGACTATTCCTGCTGTCAATCATGCTGAGGCAAATTTCAAGCAGGCCTTGAGAATGCTGGGGCTGGAAAAGATTCTTTTGGGTTTGGTTCTTTCATTGAGGGTGAGCTACTCTTGGATATGTGAAAACAGGCTAAAAACTATAGCAGCACCATTAGGCTGGTGGCTACAGTGGGGGTAGAGGCTCTAGCCTCAAAATGGTGCTTTGAACCACTGGGCTTACAGGCAAATGGGAAGAATGATGACCATTTCTTAGGATACGAGAATAGCAGGGCACACTCCTAACATTTGAAGACTATTGTTGGCTCCAGGTGAATAAGACAACTATCCTAACAGCCTCTTTTGACCTGGACCTCCAGGGGCCCACAGGTAAATGACAAATCTATACTTTTTAAGAAGTGGTGCCAAGAAGACCTATAGAATCAGGTCTACTGTGACATGGAGCCAGCACAGCTGAGCATAATAGCGGAAAAGAGAGACTCCCTCATCTGTTCCACTCCCAAATTACAGGTTATCTGTAGCAGCATCTTTGGAGGCCACAGACCTTCCCGCTATGCTATAGGAAGTGCACCATACTTGTGAATTTCAACTGAAACACATAGTGGAAAGTCATTAATTCACAAAGACCACTACTTCTTTATGCATCATTAGATAACTATGCCTTGATGTGTTGTACATAGAAGAGGCAAGGCTCAACTAAGGCACAACTAGACTAGAAATTGGTCTAAACCAAAAACCAGTATTTTTCCAATTATATTATAGGGTGTATTTGTAAACAACAAATATAGTAATCCAGTTTGGCTAACTGCAGAATAAATATTAGAAATAAACAAAAAATCATGCTGGAAAAAAATTGCTTAGAAGATGAATTTATGCCCTGAGTCTCAAGGAAGAGTGGAAACTAAATCTAGTAAACAACGGAGAAATTGATATTACATAATGGCAATAATTTTTTAGCAACTCATCCATTCCCTTCCACAGATATTTCATAAGCCCCTACACTGCACGGATACTGTTGTGGGCTCTAGGAATATAACGGTCAGAAAAAAAGACAAAGTGCTTGCCATTATGAAGCTTAAATGCTAATATAAGGGTCAGACAGTAAACCAAGTTTGTAATAAACCTGGAAGTAATAAATGCTACAAAGAAATAGAAAGTTGAATAAGAGGAAAAGGTGATATGGAGATGGAGGCGTCCTGGTTTTTCAGGTGCTATTTTCTACAGATGACTTCTCTGGGAAGGGACATTTGAATAAGATCAGAAGGCAGAAAAGGAAGGAGCTATGTGGGCGCCTGAAGAGGGTGTGGGAAGAATAGCAAGGGCAAAGGCCCCAGAACAGAAAGAAGCGACCAAATCCTGATTTCACGATGCTGACTGCCTTCCTATTTTTCTTACATGAAAGTCTACGTTATTTAATACAGGACTTGTTTCTGTGTTTTGTTTTGTTTTTGATAAATATAATTTTCACAACATGGAGGTTGAGAAGAAGAAAAAAAAGCTCTCCATCCTCTTTGTCCTCTAGAAAGATTAGAGCCAAAATAACTGTTTAACAAATCTACCACTACCGTTCCCATCTCCAAAGCCCTACGATCATTTTTTAGTACACCAATTTTCTCTTTTATTGTCTGTCGACTGAGGATATATGGGAGCAGCCCTTTACTGTTATATGAAACATTCCCTGCAATTTGGGAAGGCTGAGTTTTCCTTTTGCACTTCTAATTGTGAAAGGGAACCTGGACACCGGATGTTCACAGATATCAAGCAGCTGCGAAAGAGTACTTCTCTGATGCTTTTGATTCATTAAAAAGCATATTTTAGTCCTTTCTGAGGAATAGCTCCTTAGAATTTCAATAACACAATGATATTCTGACCAGTTTGACAGTATCACACATGCAAAACTTTATTTTCTCAGCATTTTGAATACAGGCACAAAGTTACATGACTTTCTGGATGTTTTAGAGTACACAAAACATGACAGAGAAAATTGTTTCTTTGTTATAGCTTCTTTGAAGCTAGCAAGAGTTTCAAGTTTACTAGTGTCTTTCAAATTGGGAATATTAGAAATTTGATTTTTTTTTCTTTTTGCTTCATACCATTTTGGGTCTTACTCTCTTTACTCTCTTTACTCTCTTGAAATTCCCTGTATTAAAGCTATCTTCTGTTCAACAGTAACACTTTATTAATTTATACCTGTCTTAAAAACAGAGTGGGAAGGCAATCTAGCCAGCAAGTACTGTCATGATAGAGCATTCTTTCCTGGTTCTGATGGAGTAACTTTCTAGGGGATGTGGAAATGGCATTATCAAAAATGAAAAATACTGTCTTGAATTCAACCTTGACCCAATTATTGAACTTGAAATAGGGCAAGCTTTAAACCATAACAATATTGGTAATGTAAGGCAATATTATATGACATAACGTACAGGACACCAGAAAGTTCTCTGCCGAAAATGCTAACCCCTTCATAGATGCTCCATTAGGAATGCATTCCTTTGAATTAAATGCTTCTTTATCCCCACAATTTTCTTAAAGCACCATTTTATGGAAGGGTACAGATGTGAAACATGTAATGGAATCTTTTGATGGAGTTTAAGACACAAGAATATAAAGCTAGTAGTAGGAAGGGATACTTAAAGTGCAGGAAAATGTTGGTAAACCACACTAAATCCATTCCTCCCATGTTTATCCTAGAGGCAGCCCTACATGAAACAGCAAATGCTTAATATTCTCATTAACCATTCAGCAACCTTAGCATAACCATAGAGTATGAGGGAAGGCAATCGCCTAGGGAATGGGCTCTTCTCCAGTAGAAATACAAACACAGAGCAAACATTCCCAGCCATTTTCATCAAACTAAATTTGAACAAAACACCCACCTGGATGGTTTCAGTCTACAGTTATTTGAAGTTCATGTTTTATGTCTTCTCTGACACAAAAGAGCACTGTAATAAAAAAGGTGACAATTTGCCACTTATAGGCAAGTAAAAGGTAGAAAATTGCTCCAACCTGGCACAATTGTGTTGTTGTTTTTTTTTGAAAATAATATTAGGATAGCTGCCTTTAAGAAAGCAACAATTTGAGGGTCTAGGTCTCATAGAATAAAAGGCAGTCTGTACAAAGTAAAGGTTGCACAATGTTTGCACATCACCATAAAAGTCTGTACAGCATAAAAATATATTTCTGTGGCCTTTTTTCTTTGCTCATGCCATGCATCAGCAAAAGACAGATTATTATCATCATTATTTCTGTAGCCTTCTTCATTATCCAAATGCTTTATAGACATTGATTAGTTAACTCTTCTACGAACCCTGCCAGAAAGGTCAATATGATTAATCCGAAGGCAGAGCAAGAGAGCCCTGAGGTTAAGTGATTCATCCTTCCCTCCAAGGAGATCAGTGGAGGACAAGCTCTAAACTCCAGAGTTCTTCTATCTGAAGCTGTTCCTACCCTTGCTGACATAGGTAACAATGAAAGTGCTTTTTCTTCCCTGGTACAGTTGATGCAAAGAAGACTCAAGCTTGTACACACTTATTGGTAAAGAATAAACTGTTATCCTTTGTGAGATTCTTCGTTTGATTAAAATAAATGCACTTTGGTAAAATTTTCAATTTGTGGCCAGAGAAGGTGTTTCAGGTTAGAGCTCTTACATCTTGATGCAACAGTTTGTTCTTCCTACAAATATTTATCAAGGTTCTACCATACCCCCAGAGGCGCATTCTAGGCTTCAGGAATACCAAAGTGAATTTGAGAGCCAATGTCCTGCTTTCATGGTGCTTACTCTCTAGTGAAGTGAGACAAACAGTAGAAACATTTAAAAAACAACAATAATAACACAGTGATAAGGCCAGGAAGAGAGTTAATGTAGGATAATGTAGAAACTGGTAAGCAGGTGTTTCTTTAGATTGGGTAGTCAGGGAAAGCCTCTCTGAGAAGGTGGCATTGAAAGTGTGTGACAAGAGGGAGTCAGCCATGTGGAAAGGAGAGCCAGTGGCATTCCAGGCAGAAATAAGAGCTGAGCTAAAAAGTAAGCTACTAAAAGCCTGAGGTAGAAATGAGCTTGGTGTGTCTGGGGACTGAAGAGCAATTTAGTGTGGCTGGAGGATAAGTCAACAACTGGGAGAGTGGAATAATTTAAGGTCAGAAAAGTAGGCAGGACTAGAATGGGTAGGTCAGAGAAAGAAGCTTGGAGCTTATTCTAAGTGCCTTCGGCAAACCACAGGGAAATCTTAAGTGGTGATGAGACAAAATCTTACTCCTATTTGCCAAACATTACTCTGTCATTTTGGGGGAAAAGAGCTCCAGGAAAGAAGCCAGTTAATAGGCTATTGCAGTGGTTCAGGTGAGAGATGATGGTGACCTGAACTGGGCTGGAGTAGTGCAGATGGAAGTGGAGATAACTGGATACATTTAAGATAGGAACTGACAGAAGAGTTGGCAGGACTTGCTGACAGATGTGGAAAATATGAGCAATGAAATCAAAGGCAACTATTTATTTAGATAAAGAAAGGGAAACAAATTATTAGAAAGTGTTTGAAACCTTAGGCCTTTCATAATGCATTCATGGGGTTCAAGGATCCTTCATTTTTTTGAACAAATCAAGCAGGAGATAAGAAACATTTCAAGTATAATGACAAGGGTGATGTAATCTGGTTTCTGGCTCTTCACAATAGTAGGTGCTGGAAGAAAGTAAACTAGAAAACTAGATCATTCCACAACTGTTTAAGAAAATCTTAAAACTAAGACCTATTTGGGCCCATTTAAAATTATTAAATATGGAATGAATTCAAGTAAATTTTGTAATGATGCATTTATTAAACATTTTTTATGTTGCAAAGCATAGAGCTATTTTAAGACAACATAGAAGTAACCCAGCCTTCATGAAATATATTCTGGTGGGAGAAAATTGGCAATAAATAATTATCACAATTAATTATTCCAATTGTTATGAGGGAAACAAGGGAGAAATATGAGCCATTCTAGGAGGTCATTAAGGACTTATTTAAAAAGTGACATGTAAACTAAGGTCTGAAGGACTTAGCCATGAAGAAGCTGTGACCATCACTTGGATATAAAGTCATAACTCATACACTTACACTCAGCAATTTACTGACTACAGCCATAATGTCACCATCTTCAAATTCTGAAGAGAGAGCATCTCGTCAATTGATTGCCTGGTGTCAGGGCAGGTGCACATTCCTGACCCATTTGGTTGTGACTTGGGAATGAGAGTGTGCCAAAGGGAACAGGGGCCTGTATTTTCCAAGAACTAAAGGAGAAGCTGTTAAACTGGGAGAGATGTTGGGTATGACAGTAAATTGAATTATGTTTCTAATATAATCCTCTGCTCACCTTTTCATTCCCAGAGCTCAACAGAGTGCCAGGCATATAGGAAGCATTCAATGTTGAGTGATGGATTGATTAAATAAATGAATAAAGGCAATTAGACACAGAGCAGAAGGCAATTTTTGTCTCCTGCTAAGTAGTAAGAAAGTCTATATACCAGATCAATTATGGTCTTCTTCCAATATACTATACCATCACTTCCATCATCTTTTGGAATTGTGCCTCACTTACAGACAGACTAACAAAATTAAGTTAGAAATATTTTGATTATAATTGATACCTGATTTTTTTTTCATATCTGAATCCAGTGCTTCTCAGACTTTACAGAGCATAAGAATCACCTGGCAGCATATGTGAAAACGCAAAATCCTAGGTCTCACCCATTTTGGAAGAGCCAAAGGAGAACCCAAGAATATCTTTTTTTTTTTTTTTTTTTTTGAGACAGAGTCTCACTCGGTCACCAGGCTGGAGTGCAATGGCGCAATCTCACTGCAATCTCTGCCTCCCAGGTTCAAGCAATTCTCCTTCCTCAGCCTCCCAAGTAGCTGGGACTTCAGTTCATGCCAATACACCCAGCTAATTTTTGTATTTTTAGTAGAGACGGGGTTTCACCATGTTGGCCAGGATCGTCTCAAACTCCTGACCTCATGATCCGCCCGCCTCAGCCTCCCAAGGTGCTGGGATTAAGAATATGAATTTTAACAAAGATCTCAAGTGATTAAGATGTAAATGACCAAATTTACTTTGAGAAATACTGACCTCCAGTCATTCTCTTCCTAAGTCCAGTCTACCACAGATCTAAATGGTCCTGTGGGTTTCTTTGCCTTCCATTGTCATTGTCACTGACAACTTAGATATTATTTATCAGTTACATTCCAGTAGCCACGCATCTGTTCTTTCTTCAGTGTCTCTATGTCTCAATCCAACTTGTACTTTAATTTAATATATCTTCCCAAAACAATTTCTGGGCTAAAACAAAAAGTTCAAATAAAAAGTAGCAGAATCTAGTATGCTTCATTTCATCTACAAATTTGAATTCTATCTTTTCTCCAGTTTAGCCTCCTCAAACTTGAAGTCTTTTGCTTTACACGACTACAAAGGCATCCTACTTACCTGCTTTTCCAAAGAGTTTCCTGTTTTATGCGACGTAATACTCCCCAAAAGGAAACCTAAAAACAAGAATAGTCAGAAGTCTGGTTTTAATCCAGTGTTTTTCAAGCTGCTGTGCGAATGTGAGTAATTTCCTTAGCTTCTCTGGAATCCATTTGTTCCATCAGTAAAGATGCAGAATCAGCTTAAACTAGTGGCTTTCACACATTTTGATGACCACCCACTGTAAGACATAGGTCATGACAATGAAGTTTCACAAAACATCCACAAAACACTTACACTTACTGCATGTGATGGACTCTGATATTTTATCTTTCAATCTACTTTATTCTGTCATATTATTTCTTGCATAAAAATGCTAGTTGCAGCTTTCTAAATTGATTTCACAACACTCTACTATATCTGTTGGGGTGATCAGACCCAACACCAGGTCATGGGGGCAACAAAGTCCGGCGGAGTCAAAGGAATGAGAAAAGTCAGTATGAGAGAGAAAGTGGGTCCAGGGGGGCCAACGCAAGTATGGAGGCTGCGAAGGCCCTGAGCTCTGGAAGCCCAGACTATTTCTTGGTGTTCAAACAAAGAAACAGGTAGTGAGAATGTGGGGTTGAAAAGGAGCATTGCATTAAGCACATGATTTACAGCTGTGATGGTTTAGCATTTATATGGCCAATTCTAAGACACAATCGATCTAGGAGCCTGGGAGGGCTAGAAGCAAGGAGCCAGTAAGTCTAGACACATTCCGGAACCACGAGGGGTTTTACGCCCTGGGCTTAGATTATGGTGCATCAGGCCAGACTTCCACCCTTTGGCACAGAGCTTGGTGTGTCAAAGGCCACAAGCGGTTTTAGACCCTGGACCCCAGACATGTTCCAAGACTCTTTTACATTATGTCAGACATGCAAGCCCTGCCTCAGCTTCTCGCAACACTCAGCTTTTCCCAAAAAGATCACAGCTTCAGTCTGAAAAACACATAGATGATCTTTATGGTCTGCTCTAGTTCTAATGCTCTACGACAATGAATAAACAATAAGCTCTTTTACATAATTAACATGTCTTCCCAATTTATATATTTTTACTTTTATAAATAAACTCCAGGGGAAAAAATAGATTTCCTAAGGTTATCTGGCAACTCTGATAAAACAGTGTTGATACATGTTATAAATACATGAATTTAAAATTCATAAAGTTTAATAACAATGTAAGCCAATGGAAAAAAATTGGATTTATTTTCTTATTTTCCCTCTGATCCAGGTACAGACTGCATCTCAAGAATTCTTACCATGATTGAGGAAGAGGTACTAAGATTGAAGTGATGTTCCTTCATATTTTGGTTATATCACTGGTTATGTCCCTTGGCTCTCAGCCCTGACTTCACTGTAAAATCACCTGGGGAAGTAAAATAAGCAAAAAACACCCCCATTCTAAAACTATTAATTCAGACTATAAGAGGGCGGAACTGAATCATCAACATTTTTAAATCTCTCTGAGTGAGGACTGAGAAGAACTAGACTAGCTGACACACATCAAAAGCCACAGCACTCTGGCTGCCCAGTTTAGCCCAATGACAGAACACAAGGGTGATGGAAGCATTCTTGCTTGAATGTAACATTTCCATTTTATTCCCTTCCCTTACATTCCCCACAAGCTCTACACTAGTCTTCTCCTTCATCATCTTCATAATTCAAAATTGAGAACTGCTACCTACTGCAATTTAAGCAAAAGTGTCTTTAAATCCCAAATCTGCTCCATTGGCCCTGCTCACATACCTTAGGGTCCTTGAGTGCAAATGCCATTTGAGAAGGGCCACTGTATAAACTATTGATTCTTCTCTGTCTGTTCTCCAACTCACTCTGTAAGGTAGAGATGTAAACAGCTTACAGATGTGTCATTTTGAAGACCTGATAATAGGGGAGGAGTAACAACCAGTTCTCATCACACAGGTAAGCACTGGGAAAGGTGGGCTAAGAACAACTGGGGACTTTGGAAGACACAAGCAGAAGCCACAGACAGACTCAAGGGACTAAATAAAGGGTGTTAAGTCATGATTTGGCTTCAATGCCACAAAGCCGAAATTTTGAGTGAATCACTCATTAAAAAAATCCATTCAAGATAGAGAATAAAGATTAGGAGAAACGTAGCAAAAACAAATGTTTGTTTTCGGGGATTATAGTGCTTTTGGTTTTTGCTCTGTAGACTTAATTTTGTTATAGTGGTAAGTTTTGTTTATTAAGGAAAACAACTTATAGTTAATTGTTTACTTAATAAACAAGTGAATTGAATTTTGAGAAACAAGGGCTTTGTTTTGAATTCATAAATTCTCACGTCAGATGAAAGCCCCTGGGATTTATATGCTTCCTTATCGCCACCTTGTGTGCTTTAAAATAATGCAAGGGAAAGATAGCATAGTGCAACTTAGTTATATATGGAAAATCAAAGCTGGCGGCTAAGCAGTTTACTAACAGACAAATACCCTTGATGTAGCTCAATGAGCCCCAGATGTAATATGGGAACATCTCATTCAATAATGTGGCTTTCCCTGGCCTGCAGAAACTGATGTGAAAGGGCTTTCTTTTGTTTTGAGATTATGACACTTTGATGGTAATGTTATTTTAATATACAATAAAATTATATCATAAGTAGTATAATAAATGATAAAAAATAATTTTAATTTTTAATACTATTGGTGCAAAAAGGTGGCAGTGTTTTATTTCACTACATTTTGATTCCCTTACTTTGCAAAAAGTCAGGTTTCCTGGAGAAGGCTAAGAGAGGTATCAGAGAACTCAGGCACCGCCTCTTGCTTTCTCTCCTCTCCTCAGCATAAGGATAGGACTTTACTTAGGTTGAGTTGGTTCAAAAATCTGGACATGAGTGCAGGTGATATAGACGTCTCCTTAATGGAAATGTGTAGATGATCAATGCAACTGCTTCTGGAATGCCGAAAGGAATGCCACGGAAGGCTTGTGGTGAGCAAGAATCAAGCCTCTTCTCAATGCTGGCAGGTTTCTACCAGCTTGGAAGAGATCACCAACAGCCACGTGCTCTCTAGAGAAGCAAGGGGAAGGGAAAGCCACACTGAAATACTTTGCATCCCCTCATGCTCTGTGGGGCTCCCTCGTGCCTACTGATTTCTGTGCTGTGGTTATATGTACTGGGGCCGCATAGCAAGTGTGCGTGAGTGGGGTTTTGTGTGTGTTTGAGTGTGTGCAGGTGTGCCTGAGTGTGTGTGTGGGTGAGTGTAGCTGGCTGTAGGTGTGTGTGTATCTGAGTGTGTGAGGGGTGTGTTTGTCTGTGATTATGGCTGTGGCTGTGAGTGTGCATGAGTATCGGTGGTGTGGGTGACTGTGGGTGGAAATATGAGTGAGAGTGTGTGGGTGTGCGGGCTGTGTTTCTGTGGATATGTGTGAGTGTGGATATCAGCGTGGATGAGTGTAGGTGACTGTGCGTGAGAGCATGAGTTTGTGTGTGTGTAGAGGGGTGTTTGTGTGGGTGTGAGTGTGGGTGGCTGTGGATGTAAGTGTGTGTTTGAGTGCATGTGTGTGGAGGTTCTCTTCTTATCAACCCAACCCTGAACTGATAGCTCTATTTTACTGCTCTCTCTTTCCCCTTCACAATCTCATTTTGTGGTGGTTGTTGGATTTTTACTGGGCTATAAAATCTGCCAATCTGGGAACTATTGATAACAGTTGATGAAAATAACAGGCTGTGAAAGGAATGAGCAATTTTGGAGCCTTATTCCCTCTGGTTTCTTACCAACATGAGTGTACTCTATTAATTATGAAACATAGATGTCAGACCAGCAGATCCTGGTGAACGAGGCGGGTGGTGGGAGGGAGGGATTCATGAGAAATGGGAAGTGCACGTTACCTGAACGTGGGAAGAGAAGCTGAATTGGGAGCTCAAGGCAAAGGCTGAAGTCACAGTTTTACTTAGAATCATCCCCGCAGTTGTACAACAATCTGTGAGCATGGGCTTACAGGCACATTTCCTCAGCAAGAGACAAATTTTGGAAAGAAAAACCTCAGATCACAGAGGCACAGGTCACTAAATACAGTTTCTACCCCTTAGGTTGTATATAATAATGGTAATTCTTACCTCTTAGGTTTTAAATAATTGTGGCATTGATTGCTAGGTTGTTTTGCCCCTTTGGTCTTTATATTTTTCTTTAATCAATATTATAGTAAAAAGCTTAAGGAAAAAAATTAAAAAGCATTTTATGCTTTGAAACTCTGAAAATTTGCCTTATTATTAAAATATACATTCATTTTCTTAATTCTATTCACTTATATATTTAATATTCTTTAAAGTTCCTGATTATTCAAGAGATGCTTATTCTTTCTTTCAAACTCTTCCAGTGTCTATTGTTGGCAGGATTTTGACAGCCTCCAAAGCTTTAGCAAAACTCACCAAGTTGGTTTAATTCAGTAAAAGCCTCATTAATTTTACTAGATCAAGGAGAGTCTCTCTGCCAAAAATTAACCTATTTGGCACAGGAATGGTCCCTCTCTACCTGTAATTGTCATTTCTCCCAGATAACTGCAGTCAGACCATCACTTTCCTTTTTCTCCACCCACAAAGACAGAGATCCTTGCAACTTACAGAATGATCTACTATCTTACAATATTGGGATCATTTAAAAGGCCTTGTCTATATTTTCTCAAATATAGTCTATGTTGTTCCAAATATAGATTTTTTATTATAATAGAGTCATAGCAATAACCTATCTTTTAAAATCTCATTTTTAGCACTAATGTTAAAGTGCTATCAGTGATATTTATTTCAGGTCCTTCCTTTAAACTAAATAGTTATTTCTATTTGCAGAAAATGAAGGAAGTTGCTAACATATTTCAAGGGAAATCTTTTTTGCCACTGATTTAAGCAGTAATTGGAAACAGAAAAGGAGCATGCATGAAAAGCAGTAATACTACTTTCTTATCCTGCAATCACTGAAGAGTGGGGAATTGTGTATTATTTGATTTTTTTATTAATACTTGTAAAGGCAATATGTCAAATTTGAATACTTCTGTTCCCTTTCATCAAATTAGGTTCTCATTGCTTTTTTAGCAGCTCTGGCTTACAAAGCTTAAGTTATATTTGTAAAATGAACAGTTAAGTGTTCTATTGTTGAGAAAAATTTACATTGGAATGAAGATATATTACTTAGAATCATAAAGTGATTGAGCTAGAAGGCAACTTAGAGATAATACACCCTAATGCTCACTCTGAGTTTTTATTTTATTATTTCACAGATGAGAAAACTGAGTCCCAATGAATTGCTTAATTCCACAGATCTACTCAGCAGAGGGAAGAATTTACTTCATTTTTCAAAGAAGTCAGTAATGTATATTGCCTTAGATTAAGTACCTCAAAAGTAAAGTTTATTTTCAAACTCTATCAATAATGGTAATATTCAGTATATGTCTGATGTTTAATGAATATTATTTCCTATAGTCTTATGATTATTACATTCTTTGCAGGATAAATGGATAACAAATGAAGTCGTTAACATTACTGAGTTATTCAGAGATACCTATAATATAAATAAAATCAATATTTTCAAATTTTTTATTAATCAAATTCCTTGGGTTTTTATGTTGCTGACAAGATTTTTAATAAGTAATTGACTTTTGAGATTAAATTATATTCTTATCTAAACCTAATATAGGCAGAAATATAGAAGAACCTCCATGAACAACAGAAAAATCCTTGAACCTTGAGTTCCTGGGGCAAGTCAAAGACAGACCAAAGTGCTTAAGGTGACCTACCTCTTTTTGAGAACAGAAATGCCCTAACTCCCAGCTCGCACTTTGCAAAAGAAATGTTACCTTTGTGTCAGTCATGAACAAACTGCTTCTTTAAGTAGCTTCAGGCTTTTAAAGTCCCTGAGACTGGCCCTTAAGAATTGTTACAACATTTATTATTTGACCTTTTTCCTAAAACTTTCAGATCCCCAACGCTTAACCTCATCATGTAGTAGGACTTGGTGTTTTCTTGCAGATAAAGCAGGCTTCACCAACTTGTATTAATGCAACAGGGTTGAGATTAATCCTGGCCTTTTGTTTTAGAAACAAAACTTTCAAAGGACAAAGAAACTCAAAGTCACAGTATTATTTCAAAAACATTATTTGGAATCTCTCCAACAAGTTAACAGCTTACACCAAAGAAAGCCCCTTTGGTCTTTTCCCCTTCTCTCATACTGGAGTTGTTGCTAGTATATTGCAAACTTAGTTAGGTGCCTCCTAGCTTGCCCTTCAGCTGCCATGTGTAGAAAAATATTTGTCTCAGGAGCAGGGAAGACGGTCCAAGATGCCTATAACCAGCTGAGACATTTAGCTCAGGGAGGACTCATTCATGCCTTGTTTAAAATCAAGGTTCTATTAGGTGTGCTTTGCATAGATCTGCCAGGTCCAGGGCGCCTTTCACGAAATCAGGTTGCACAGTCAGCAACAGGAATTCATAGGAAAAAATAGATTATACTTTTTCTCTTAAGCAAGAGAAACACTTGCTTAACAATTGAATCAAAACAAAGCCAAAACCAAATAAAAGGCATTGGTCTCAACTATCAACCCATCATCTAGGTTTTAAGCCCCGCATGCATTAGGTATTTGCTCTAATGCTCTCCCTCCCCTTCCCCCACCACAAACCACCATGGCACATGTATACCTATGTAACAAACCTGCACGTTCTGCACATGTATCCCAGAACTTAAAGTAAAATAAAAATAAATAAATAAATAAACGACTAAACAATTTTTAAAAAAACATTGGTTTATCTGGAATTACCTGAGTTTTCTTACATGATAATGATCAACCAGAAGACTGAGTCAAAGTCATTTGGTTGGTCAAATCAGCTTCTATCTGAAGTTATATCACTTTCGAGAAAGATAAACCCCAAGAAAAGCTTTTATATAAGAGATTTTATTTGGAAAATGTGTAATCGAGTTGAGATGGCCTTTGGAGAAGCAACATTTCATAGGAATAAACTTCCTGGCCTCTTAGGTTGTTTTTGTCCCTGAAAAGAAAAGGAAAAAATATCATTCAATTTCCAAAGGTTCAACTAAAATTAATAAGATTTTAAAACCTTCTTTCCTGTCTTTGAGTTTTTGAGTCATTGAGTTGCCAAGCCTGCTGTTAAACTTTTAGCTCACAGTTGCACCGTATTTAATACCTTTTCTAATAATAAAGTAAAAGGAAGAGGAAATCTGAAGTAGTGTGCCCCAAACTTAGATATAATGAAACATTTTAGTTTCTTTTTTTATAAACATTCTCAAATGTATTAGTATATTTAATCAATTGAAAGCTATTAATTTCTTCTGCAAATATCGTCTGAAAGCTCAGGCCTGGGAGTGTTCTAGGCTCTTGAGCTACAGTGGTGATCAAAATGAACAATGCCCTTCTTCCTAGGCCACACTGCGAAATGGGAGAGTAAATATTAAATTAATAATCATCAAACAACTGAGTGACCAATACTCCACCACTTGGGCCAGGCACATTGGCTCATGTCTGTAATCCCACCACTTTGGGAGCCCGAGATGGGTGGATCACTTGAAGCCAGGAGTTCAAGACCAGCCTGGCCAACATGGCGACACCATGTCTCTACTAAAAATACAAAAAAAATTAGCTTGGCGTGGTGGTGCACACCTGTAGTCCCAGCTATTCGGGGGGCTGAGGCACAAAAATTGCTTGAACCTGGGAGGCAGAAGTTGCAGTGAGCTGAGATTGTGCCATTGCACCTCAGCCTGGACAACAGAGTGAGACTCCATCTCAAAAAAAAAAAATACTCCACCATTCGAATTACAGTTCTGGGGTTATGGAAAGGAGCTTATGAAAAGAGTGGCAGGGAAGAGTCCTCCAAGGAAGCAGCACTTCAGCTGAAGCCTGAAGAATGGACAGAAGAAGACCAAAGACTAGTCGGAGGAGAATGTTCCAGACAGAGGAGGCTCTGAGGGGGAAAGGTTAGGTTTGTCTAGAAACTGAAAGTGCTTATTTCATCAAATAGTGATTTTGAGGCAAAGGTATAAAATGTGTTTGAAGGGTTTAAAAAGCCTTCTCTGACATGAAAGGATTTGGGTCTTTATCCTAAATGCAACAGGAAGTGATAAGAGAGTAATTAACTTTGTTTCACACAGGCCTACACTGTGACTTCCATGGGTCTTAGGCATCTTTGTCAGTCCCTTCCTCTATAAGATACGTAGAAGATACAGCAGTAATAGACACATATATAATAGATAGACACATATATATATTGTATTATAATATTGGCAAAAAGATTAATACAATCCAGACCAAACTATATTCATTTTTCTTCTGATATTAAAAGAAATTAAAACATTTTTGTGGTCCCCTAACATTGTCATGAACTCATGGCCCTGTGGCTACTGTGTCCAATGTCTAAGCCAGCCTTGGTCTTATCAGGAGAGCACAGATTTTAGTCAAGATAAAGCAGAAAGCTATTACATGGCTGCAGGCAAGAGAATGTGGCAGACATAGGCAAGAAAAAATCAATAAAATATTATTAATTTCGTTTTTAAATAGAAAATAAAAAAAAACCATCTACTCAGACACTAAAGTATATATTAAGAAACCTAAGCCAATATTTACTAAAAAGAAAAAAAAACACATTATGGTCAGTTTAAAAAAATGACAGAATAGGAGAGAGATAAGGGGGTCAAAGTCAGAAAGCTGAGTGGTGAAAAAGACGAACTAGAAGCCAAGAGGGAGGTAGGAGGTAAAATTATGGAGAGAGAAAAGAGGGAGAGAGAGATGCAGGGAAGCAGAATAACAAGAAAGGAATAGGGAAAATCGGGAGGGACTGGATGTGAAAGCTCTTTGAAGGCAAATCTGCTGTACAAATGTAGGAGAGTGTAATAGGAAGCCAGGGAAAATTTTTCTTGGGAGCCTGGAGCCAACGCATTAAAAAATCTTCTAATGATCACCCATAGTCCTTCAGAGGAAATCAATAGAATGTGGGCCGTTATCAAAATAGTCGTATTGGAAGGACAGAGCTCTAAAAGGGAGCATGTGTACGTCTTGTTAAACCAAACATTTCCGCAGAGAGCTGCGTTCGTAGAAAAAGCTGGCAGGCATTTGTAACCAGAATCATGTGTATGCTTGCTAGAAAAACCACATGTGGGGATTTTTGCTGTTTACCTTCTTCTTTTGGTAAATCCCTCAGCAATATTGCTATGTGAAAAAATTCCAAGATGGTTTATCAGTCAATGTACGATAATAACCGTTCCCTCTCTTCCTCCCGATAGAGTTTGATCACATTTGAGCACCTGTTAGAGTGTCTTTTTATGCTCTTCTGTATAGTGAACAAGAGGGGCACCCTTTAAGCCCAGCAGGAGGCCTGGCTGGCTGGGGTGAGAGCCCTTTCTTGACACTTCTACCCTCTGCTCTGCAATTGTGATGGTTACTTTTACATTTCAGCTTGGCCAGGATACAGTACCCAAGTAATCAGTCAAACTCTAGGTGTTGCTATGAAGGCATTTTGTGGGTGTGGCTAATACTCACAATCAGTTGGTTTCAAGTTCCATAATGTGTGTGGGCTTCACCTAATCATTTAGAATGCCTTAAAAGCAAAAACCTGATGTTTCCCTGAGAAAGAACAAATTCTGCCTCAAGATTAAGATGTTATATTAGTCTGTTTTCACGCTGCTGATAAAGACAAACCTGAGACCAGGCAATTTACAAAAGAAAGAGGTTTAATGGCCTTACCGTTCCATGTGGCTGGGGAGGTCTCACAAACATGGTAGAAGGCAAAGAGGAGCAAGTCACGTCTTACGTGAATGGCAGCAGGCAAAGAGGGAGAGAGAGAGCTTGTCCAGGGAAACTCCCATTTTTAAAACCATCAGATCTCATAAGACTTATTCACTATCCCGAGAACAGTATGGGGGAGCCCAGCCTCATGATTCGATTATCTCCCACCAGGTCCCTCCCACAACACATGGAAATTATTAGAGTACAATTCAAGATGAAATTTGGGTGGGGACACAGAGCCAAACCATATCAAGTGTCAATTCCTGCCCAAGAGTTTCCAACCTGCTGGTCTGCCTACAATGTTCAGACTTGCCATCTCCTGCAATTGCACGAGCCAATTCCTTGAAATAAATTATATATATATATACACAATTTATAATATATAATATATAGCATGTCTTATATATATAATGTCTATTATATGTATGTTTCATAAATAATATAAATGTATACATTTACTATATAGAATCTCACAGATATGGTTCTGATGGTTCTGTTTCTCTAAAGAACTGAGACACACTTTGGTACCAGGAGTGGTTCTAAAGGAATGGAGTCTTAAGGGTGAGGTTTCTAAATTGGCTCTGGAGATTCTGGAAATTCTTCTCGAAGCCAACAAAACTTAAAGGCACTAATGACTCTATTTCCACTGGTAAAGAGGGCACTGATACTCCATACTATGGTGTTTTAATCAGCTTGGGCTGTCATATCAGTAAACCACAGACTAGGTGGCTTGAACAAAAATGCATTTACTCACCGTTCTGGGAGCTAGAAGCCCAATATCAAGGTTCTGCCTCATTTAGTTCTCAGCGAGAACTGTCATCCTTGTAGATGATCACCTTCTCACTATGTCCTTATACAGCCTTTCCTTGGTGCATGCCACAGAAAGAGAGAAAGCAAGCTCTCTGATGTCTCTTCTTATAAGGACACTCATCCTACTGAACCAGAGCCCCATCCTTATGCCCTTACTTAATCTTAATTGCTTTCTTCCTCCAAATAACAGCCACAGTAGTGGTCAGGGTTTTAACATATGATTTGGTGAGGGGGTCACAAATATTCAGTCCATAACATCTGGCAATAAAGACATACAAAATACTATCCTTGGGTATCCCCAATCAAATACTTATAAATGTGAAGCTCTGGTGACTGCAATATTTGATATCTTAGAATACTTTTGTTAAACTAAGAAGCATAATAATTAAAGTGGTTTATTGCTCCTAATTGTACTAGAGGAAGGGAGGAAAAAGAAAGGGTTAGCTCAGGACTTCAAATTCCCAATTCAAATGCAGCATAAATTACCTGAAAGCTTCCACATCTGCCCTGAAAGGTGGTGGTAGCTGACATTTCTAAAAACCAAAGCCAGAGACTCATCCTATGAGTGCCTAAATTACAATACAAATTGAATTCTCAACCTCGCAGCGTGCGGCTGAACTACTTTTTATTGAAGAGAATAGGCCTGTGTGTAATGGATCCAATCAACCATCTCAACAGAAGCCAGAAACAGAAATAGGGTTATCCAGGAAAGTTTTGTAAAGGACCTGCTTGTCTGATGGCTTAGACCCCTGTGAATTACATGGACAACTGACGAGGTTTTTGAACAGCAGAAACACTTCTGGCCTGGGTTGAAACGGGCCAAGACATACTAGACACACACGTGACAAAAGAGTCAGAGATTGGAGTGATGAAGCTACAAGCCAATGAACACCAAGGACCACTGGGAGCTACCACACCTGGATGGGGCGAGGAAAGATTCTCCCTTAGAGTTCTTAGAAGGAACATGGCCCTGCTGGCACCTTGATGTAGGCTTCTAGACTCCAGGACTGTGAGAAAATACATTTCTGTTGTATTAATCCACCCAGTTTGTTGTAATTTGTTACAGCAGTCCAAGGAAACTGATATGGCAACCACACTGGCCATTAAGCGATCCACACAGCTCTCCCTATTGTAGCAGAAAATATCGAGAGACACAGAGAAATAGTGTATCTTTTCTTCCTTTTTGTAATGTTTGGTAATTCAGGGGAAACGTGGCTTTAAGAAATTTTTTCAAGCTTTAATTATATTTTTTTCAGCTTTTCCTACATCCATAATAAACCTGGTGTATCAAAGGATTGATCTATGTAAGGATGATCTGAAAAGAAATATATCAGATTTTCCTTCTCTGGACTCAGACAGTATTACTATTATTCATTATTAGTAAGGGAATAAACAGAGCAAGTAGAGAGAAAGTTGAGGAGAGATTTAAGGGAAGGCAAGACAGCAAGCTCATTTTAAATACATGCCTTTGAAATGGCATCAGAGGCCCGAGGAGGAGTGGCAAAGATCTAATGGGAGCTTTCACGCTCCAACTTCATAATATAAACTGTGTGGGTTGGAAGAAATCTCAGATGTCATCTCATCTAAAGACATGATATTTATCTAGAGGTACAACGTTGGGCAACATTTCAGCGTACCTAGGAGGTGAACATATGTAGATCAGGCCTCTGAGGAGCACATACCACCAGGAGGATACAGGCACAATTCTGATGTCTGCACCCAATAATTTGGAGGGCATCCCAGCAGAAGCAGCGGCATGGTTCTCAATCAGTGTGCTATGGCACCCTGGTGTGGCTCTCTATAAGGTGGTCCCATCACATTTGAGTCACTGTGTAAGATTTATGGGTTATAATCATAGGTCATAATCGTACCACTTCAGAGATCTCTTTCATATGGAAGGCGGAGCTCAGTGGGTCCTGTTCCATAAATATGAGCTATTTAAAACTATGTTTTCAAAGAAAGGTCTTATGTTTACCGGAATATGAAAAAGTATAAGCAAGTACGGTGAAGGAGATAAATGTTTCTAAGGAAAACAACACAGTGGCAATGTGGTTAAATGAGTCTAAGGGAACAAAGACACTTGTGGGTGTTTTGTAAGATGTTACACTGAAGTATTATTTGTGTTATAGTTAAACCCAATCTTTAAAACTGTTTGGGGAAACTTTTGATCACTTCCCATATGCTGCTAAAAATTGTATGATTTCAAAAATGTTGAAGACTACTGCAATAAGGGCTTTCATTATACTTCATAGACTCATGTTTTATGCAAGGAACCACCAACCTTGGTTAGCTGTGCTGTCAGATCATAATAAACTGAAAATAGCCAATTAGACTTGGGGGGGTTAGAAAAGGCAGGCAGCAACAGCCAGGTAATAAGGAGCTCAGTATCTAACCACTGGTTAGCTATCCAGGAAAAGTCAATTTGTCACAAAGAGTGTCTCTCAGATATTGCCCTAGTGCCTTGAGCTTAAGCTGTGTTCCCACTGAGACTCAGCCATGTGAGGGCACATTAGGAGGGCTGGTGAGGTACACACAGATTATCTATTTTAAGAAAGAATCTTGAAGCCTCCAAGAAAAAAAAAATTATTTGAGGCACCCCATAGTGTCTGTTGTTCATGTTGTCCTTCAGCCAAGTCCCCAGTAACTTGTCTATTCTTAAGGAATGATTTGGCTGGAAGTAAGAAAAGAGAGACTTGTTTCCACACAAAATCTCTGTAAGGCCTCAAAAGCACAGTAAGTCAAAGGAGAGGAAAAATGTTCTCCCTGCTTCTAAAGAGTAATTTCAGAGATGTGACCACCACAATAGGAGCTTGCAGACATCACATGAAGTGGTTCTGGAGTCAGTGAGGCCTCCAGGGGCAACGAGTATCACAGCCTTCACTTACTCACAGTGGCAGAAGCAGGGGCCAGCCATGAAGCCTCCGTGGGCAACAGTCACCTCAGTGACATCTTGCCTCCAGAGCAGCAGGGACAGCTTGAGAGTTGCAGAGGACAACGACTCGGGGAACTGACAGAAACACCTGTGATTGCAAAACCAGCAACAGTGGCGGATTTGAGGAGCCTTCATTTTTATTCCCTGCCCAATTTCTGGTCTTATTTGTTAGTTTTGGGAAAATATTGGCTACATTAAGAAAAAGCATTAATTATTTGACATATGCTATTTAAGAGAGCAGGTGTTGCATAATGCATTTTAGTAGTGTTTTCATCAAAATGGTTCATTTTTCTAATGTTTTTGCACCTGAGGGTGTATGTTTCAGTTATCGGTGAAATTCACTTATGTAGAACAACTAATTCCCTGACAGACACAGATAAATAAGCTGTTGCTATAATAGAGTGTTAAGCACTGAACAAATTTGATTAAAGATAGATTTAAGAACAATTTGTATTAACACAATTATTTGTCTAATTAGGAACAAAGGGACTTCTATTTTCAATAATTATCTATTAAAGTTGGGCCAGATTTTGTGAAGGATTAATTGTATTGTCCAATTCCTTTTTTAAAATTATTATTCTTCCTTTCCCTCCCTACAATAACCTAGCTGCTAAAAATGTAAATTTATGGCTGATTTCCTCTGTAGCATAAATATTCAAGTTCTAAAGTCAGTGCAGTTGCCTCAGAAAGATTTCTTTTACCATTCACAAGGGAAGACAGTCATTTAACTGCTTCACAGCTAGCTGTCTTCTCCTGCTTGTGAGCTGCCTCTGCCATTCTTTGATGCTATAGTAGACTATGAAATTAACAACTCAGTATTACGATACTCTGCAGGGCATCATGCATCTGGCCCACGGACGCATGTTGGGCAGTGTGACATGGATGAGCAACTGCAAATAGAGATCAGATTCCTAAATTAGATGGGCATTTTTTCTTTTTTTGCAACAGTGGCTTTCATATCTAGTTTGCATACTGTACATTATCAACCCAAATGCTAATAAAATGAGCCCTGAGCAAATTGTTGCTTTGAATAGCAAAATGAAGTCTGTGAGAAAAAGGAGAAAGTAGTAGTGGGGAGAATTTCAATGTACATGCCTCATGTAATAATTTTTTGGCATGCTTTTCCATTAAAATATTGGAATTGTTTTTAACTGAGAAAGATTTATGCTTGTATCTTGACTTCAGACTGGCTATCTCACATCTGAGGCCACAACAAAAGGTAGAAAATGTGCAAACTGTGAACCTCACAAACAGGGTTCAGCCTTGAACGAGATTACTGATGAGTCATTCCTGAAAAGCTGCTTCATAAAGAAATATATCATCCTAAATTTCAAGACAAGCAATCTCAGATTTCAAGACAAGACAAAAAATGTCAAGACAATTTCAAGACAATTAGCATATCATTTCCAAAAAATGATATGAACCTCACAAGCTAGGTTTGAGGATAAAATGAAACATACATTCATATACATATGAAAATGCAATGCTTAATACGGTGCACATTCAGGGTAGACACTGTCAATTCACCTTTTGCTTTTTTAAAAAATAGGGAACAACAAGAAACAGTACACAGAAGTCCTGAGAAGACATCATGTTTTTAGACAAAAGGGTTTGGGTGCCATTTTTGTTCTTTGGCAGATCAGAGGAGGCTTTCTGCCGCTATCTATTTTTCCCCCAAGAAATGTATTGTCATTTTAGTCCAAGCAGACATCCATAGTGGATTTTTAAAAATCCATATTTTAGGCTCAGATCCAGCTATTTTATGGGAACACAGAGCTTAAGCAACACGGATGGATCTTTTAAATAGTTCTCTATTCTGACTTCCAGAGGTAATAAATGGAGAATGTTTTGAAGGGGATATGCAAACAAAATAAAGGAAGTTCCAAAACAGGCATATTCACTCTCACCTTCATCTATGACTGGCACAGTGCCAAGACCTGCATCAGCTCTTTTTCTGAGCCCCTTCTACAAACTGAAGGGTCCTTTAAAGTCAGGTGAAGGACTGATAATTTCTCTACAATTTTTCCAGAGACCTAAGGGAGTAAATAGGACACAAAAATAGGATGACAAAATTATTTCTGCTTGATGGCATGAGTACCAACAGGTATATGGAATGGGTGTCTCAAAAATTATTAATTCCAGTGTATGCATTATGCAACTATCATATTTAACAAATTAAAAACATAACATTTTTCAGCCAGGCACGGTGGTATGTGCCTGTAGTCTCAGCTACTCAGGAGGTTCAGGTGGGAGGATCACTTGAACCCAGGAGTTAAAGGCTGGAATGAACCGTGATCGCACCACTGCACTCCAGCATGGGCCACATAGACAGACCCTGGCTAAAAATAAAATTTTAAAACAAGACTTTTTCAAATATAGAATACAGATATATCAAATATATATTTAACTCATTAATGACAAAACCCACAGAATGGTAAAACTGGTTCAAAGCAAAATTTGAAAGACTGAGAATATACAGGTACTGAAAGAAAGAATGCTGGATAAATATGTGAGGTCACGTGTCCTGCTGGGCTGTAAAGCTGCAACCTTCAGGCCGGGCGCTGTGGTTCACGCCTATAATCCCAGCACTTTGGGAGGCCGAGGCGGGCGGATCACAAAGTCAGGAGATGGAGACCATCTTGGCTAACATGGTGAAACCCCGTCTGTACTAAAAATACAAAAAATTAGCCGGGCACGGTGGCGGGCGCCTGTAGTCCCAGCTACTCGGGAGGCTGAGGCAGGAGAATGGCGTGAACCCGGGAGACGGAGCTTCCAGTAAGCCGAGATTGTGCCACTGCAGTCCGGCCTGGGCTAAAAAGCAAGACTCTGTCTCAAAAAAAAAAAAAAAAAAAAAAAAAAGCTGCAACCTTCAGAGTCATCATTTTGATGAACAAAAATTTCTTTCACCTCTACAGGATAAAGTCTAGATGTTAACAACATGTAATTGTACATAGGTTTGTTCCCAATTGACAGTAAACAGATGTTCAAAACAAAGGTACATTCCCAAAAGATTTAAATAAGGCAATATTCTGTTGCAACATTGAGAAAACAAGCATTCTTCCTTTTGCCTTCTTTTCAAGTTCTAGGTAACTTTTCTTAACAGCATGTGAGTTATCTGGATAACCTGGATTGCCTCTCAAGAAATGTTTTTCTGCTTTTGTTAAAAGGTGATTTAAGAAAGTTGTAGTGATTTCACCATCTGAAAGACGCTTTCCATCATTGAAAACCCAGCTCAGAATCCTCCAAACCCCCTACATTAGAATTAATTACAGTCTCTGTAATTTTTTTTTTTTTTTTTTTTTGAGATAGAGTTTCGCTCTGTCACCCAGGCTGGAGTGCAGTGGCATGACCCCCGCTCACTGTAATCTCTGCCTCCGGGTTCAAGCGATTCTGCTGCCTCAGCCTCCTGCGTAGCTGGGATTACAGGCACCTGCCACCATGCCCGGCTAATTTTTGTATTTTTAGTAGAGATGGAATTTCACCATGTTGGTAAGGCTCCTGACCTCAAGTGATCTACCCGCCTCCACCTACCAAAGTGCAAGGATCACAGGCATGAGCCACTGCGCCCGGCCCTGTACTTTTTAAATTTTAACAGCAGTTGTCATAATTCATTTCGGTGTCTGTCTCCCCCCACCACAAGATTGTGACTTCACTGATACAAAAATTGCATCTTCATCTTAGTATCCCAAAAGCCCTCCTAACTACTTTCCTTGACTGTGAACGGGGCTAGATTTACATCCAATGTTATATAATATCTCCTTATTGAGGGCTTTATTAACCTGTCTGAAAGATGACTAGTTAGCAGCAGGTTTTCCAGTAGAGTGGGATAATCAGCAAAACGTTACCAAGAATGAATGAAATATCATTCTAATACATGCTAAAATGCAAAATCCACAGTCACCTCATTTCATTTACAATATTCATAATTACATATACAGTATCTTAATTGGTTTAGATTTATTCTTCATTTTGTACAAAGGACTGTTGTCAGCTACAACTGTATGTGGCAAATATGCATTCATCCAGGATTTACAAGGCACTCCTGCCTTAATTGACAGACCTTATATCCAATGAGTAGTAAACTCATTTAAATTTCAGTAAAATTAAATGTCCATGTTTACGCAGTCCTTTATCTAAATGCTGCCATTTGAATAGCAACATTTATTTCATTTTCCCTTGGTTTCCCTTGATTAAACTTATAGTAGATTGTATTCAGCCTGAATTATCTGAAAAAGAATTCTAAAGAAAAGTTCTTGGCATTTACTCAGATTAGCAGCATGGAAATACTAAAGTTTTAGTGTTAACGTCTGAGTTTCTGCAATGCTGCGGATTCTCCCAAAAGCTGGAAAATAAAATCAGTTAGACTCAACTCTAGTTAAGCAAGATTACACCCAACTAAAAATGTTTGTGGTATAAAGAAAAAGTATGTTAAGACTTTACTGTTGAAAAAACACTCCAATGTGCCTTTACATGTATATTTGGAAAATTATTTAGTAGCCATAAGTGAATATTAGGATGTAAGAGAAGATGCCACCTCCGTTCATTCAGTAAAGGAAATGTAATGAAGCAAGCAGCTGACTTTGGTTCCAGTCTAGGTTCTGCCACTAAACAATTGGATCCATGCAGAAGAAGAGCTCCCTTTACTAATCTGAGATATATCATTTTCTTTATAATTAAAGAGAAATTTGTACCAGATATTCCCTGATACCTTTTTCAGTTTTAGTATTCATCACCATTTAAATAGGACCAGGGAACGATGATTTTGGGGCATTCTTTCTTTTTGTACATTCCTCCCTAACCTCCATCAAATGACCAACTATTTAGAATTTTTCTTTCTAGATATTTATCCATAGTCCCTTCACTTCTCTCCAACCTACAGCCTCCTTATTGGTGCAAGTTGCCATCTATTGCTGCCTGGATTTTAGTAACAGATCTCTGATTGGACTCATATATCCACTCTTTTCTACCCTCCCCCACTACACACATACACACACAGAGACGAGACCACACACACACACACACACAAACACTTTGACCCACTAGAGCCAAATTATATTTTTATAGAAAAGTAATAGTTCATTAAAGTGTACATTAACCAGCATCATTCTTTACGTATCTAGCCATTTCCCTTTGGATAAAGCCAAAAATCCTGAACACGGCTCTCCAGCCATATCTCACAGCCTTTCTTTTGCTAATCCAGCAATCCCTGACATCTCTTAAACCCCCCAGAATCTTCAGCATGGGGTGCTATTTCCACATCTCTTTAGCAAACTAATCTAATAGCTTCAATTTTTGAGAAGAACTGTCCCTGATTCATGCGCCAGGTTAGATTCTACTATTACATCCTTCCACCACAACCCATATTTTCTTCCTTGCTGTTGAGTCCAATCATGATTATTAAATTCCTTAATATCTATAGAACTTATTATGTACCTGGGCACTGTTACAAATATTTTCCATGTATTCACTAACTTAATTTATCTGCATAGTGTCTTTTGTACCTGACCTGTGGTAACCTACATAGATAAGCTCTTGAAGAAGTTCTGTAATTTTCCTGTAATATCTGTTGCAGACTGACCTGAGCCAATTTGTTCCTCCAACAACTGACAGGTTGTTTTGTGAAATAGGAGTCTCCTCCAGTAATTATAAGGAGAGAGGAGCTATGTGCCTCCTCATATACATGCTCAAAATGCTTATGATCGAATGGTATGAGACAAAATAAGTCTCCAATAAATTATTCTACACCATGTACATTTATTAGCCAGAAGGCACAAAGACTCCCCCACAGCCTGCACCTTTCAAGTGAAATCCCACTTTCTACACTGGGACACCCTGAAAAGCACTTTGCTGGAAAGGTTCCCATCATGCACATGTAATGATATTTTCTCTGCAATCTCAGCCTGCGTTTCCATCAGATCTGGGGTTAGCCTTCTGTTAACTGGAGTAAGGAGCAGAGTTTCCAATGGATAGGTATTAGACTGCTGGGCTCGCTGTTGTTTTATACTTTGCTTCCCAAGGCAACACTAGTTTAGTTTAAATTTACCTAGTTTCCAAAGCTTCCCTCCTCCATGCCAGGGGGTTGGGATTGCAGGGGCTTCTGCCCTCAAGACAGGCTAGGTCTGAATGTTGAGACCCAGGTAACCAGTGTAGAAGGCTGTACTCTGCCTTCACCGTGAGCTCCCTCTTGAGGGCCTCCTATACTTTCCCCAGCATCATCAGCCTTAGGCTGGAAACATCTCTTCAGCAGTGGCTAAATGCAGTGAATCTCAAAAAAGAAAGACTGGAGGGCTCAATTCTCTTCCGTTTAGGAACAAATTGGTTTACTTTCTCCCAAAGGAGAAGCTTTAAATACATAGAGCAATTGGAAAAGGCAGTAAGCATCAGGTCAAAACAAAGAAAAAGGTAATATTCTATCATTCCTTCAAAGCAATGTTGTTTCTTTCTTATATAACTAACACGGTCCACTCGAGGGATGCTTCCCAGAGCAAAGTAATTCTGCTCCAAAATGACTTCTGTCTTCTAAGAGAAGAAACAACCGCAGCAATAACAATAACAAAAATGCCTCTAAATGCTATTGAACCCACTGTACATACCTATAATCCTTCCCAATCATTTTATCAGGGCTCGCATAATGAAGCAGAAGATCTGAAGGCTAAAGGTGTCTTTGCGTTTTCCTTTCATTCTGTGTTTACAGTTACTGTTTAAAAGCCTCTTATTTGTTATTCATGTCTTCAACAAATATATATGCATTTACTATATTGCAGGCACTGTGCTAGGCCCTGGTCCAAGGACCAAAAGTGATAATCCATGTGAAAGTGTTTCATCATGTATTATACAAATATAGGAAAAAGTATCACTACTACTCATCATGGCCCTGAGAGTATACACCTTTTTGCAGGAAAGTTCACATCATTAAGGAAACAGAAGGTTAGGGATGCTTTGTTGTCTAATGGTATCACAAAGATCTCAGTCTCTCGAGTTGAATAGTTACTAGAAACTACCCACAGTAACAGCCTAAAACTCAAGTCAACTTCCCACACTGCAGGCTGCCAGACGCCGAAGTGTGGAAGTTGGAAGGACACAGCAGCTGTGTCGCGGCTGGAAGCGAAGCTGATGCAGCAGGCAGTGCCCCTCACAGCGAGCCAACAAGTTCATGCAACTGCGGGGGAGGCTTTCCAATAAACCTTGTGCTGCTGTTGTGATAGAATTTCAAACGTGCATTTCATTTCGCCTAGGTGTACAATGCTACAAGTAGGGAATCGGGATTTGCTGCAAGAAAATGATTTAGTTTGGAGTATGAAATTCTCCTGGGTGTTGATCTGTAGTTAGTTCAGCAGTGGAAGGTCTGTTGTGGCCCCATTCCAAACAACCCTATCGACAGTGTGATGAGAGCTGCTTACTTTGTGTGAAGGGAAGAGAGAGAGAAAGGTAAAATTACCTATGGATTCCTTCACCTCTACATCCCATTGCAAATATCCTAATCTCCTCCAGAAGAGGATCCTCTCTGACTTAATCAAATGACTACATTAAATAAAACCACATGAGCTAAGGGGAAAAAAGACACAGAGAGCTTGTCAGAGCCAGGGAGAGAAATGCAAAAAATACACTTTTTCCAGCTCATTCATTCATCCTGCAAATACTAATTGAGTGTCCACTATGTGCCAGGCACTGATCTAGGCACTTAGGCTAAACCAATAAACAAAAGAAAGAAAAATGCTCATCATAATGGTACTTAATATTCTAGCTGAGACAATAAAAATAAACATAATAAATATGCTGTAGAATTGTTTTAATATAGTTACTCATATAACCATAAAGGTTTACTTTCCCTCAGCACAGTCTGTTATATGCTGGGTTCCTGCATCCGTCTTGTGAATGTATCATCTGAAAAAGTGACATCTGAAGTCACTGTGCTGAGAGGCAAAAGGAGATAAAAATAGAGGCGGCAAAAACTCCCTCAGCTAAGAAATAACACATCTTATTTCTGATTACATTTGATTGGCCAAATGTGGTTGCATGCCCCTATGCTAATACAATAAGAGCTGGAAAATCTATAGTAGCACCTAGTTAATGAGCACTGAGGGTCTTTGTCATAATATGTTAGAAGGTAAAAAATGTAATGAAAAAGTAAATACTAGTGGAAGGGGTATTAGGAGCAGAGGGGCACTGAGTGGTGAGCAGGTTGCAATTTTAAGTAGGATGGTCAATGCAGGCTGCAATTTTCAAGTGACTTAGGAAAAAATATTTGAAGTCGAGGGAGTTATCCATGCAGATATTTGAGAAAAGATATTTTTAGGCACAAAAAATAGCCAAACAAAAGTCATAAGGCAAGAGAGTGTTTGGCTTGTTTGAGGAGCTTCCAAAGAGGCCATGTAGCTAGGACAAACGGCATGAGGGGAGGTGAGGAAGAGTCAAGATCAGAGACACCAGAGTTCAGGTCAGAGAAGGGATTATTGTCCACTCTAAGAATTTCACTTTTTTTTTTTTTTTTTTGAGACAGAGTCTCGCTCTGTCACCCAGGCTGGAGTGCAGTGGCACAATCTCAGCTCACTGCAACCTCCGCCTCCCGGGTTTAAGCAATTCTCTGACTCAGCCTCCTGAGTAGCTGGGATTACAGGTGCCCACCACCATGACTGGCTAACTTTTGTATTTTTAGGAGAGATGGGGTGTCACCTTCTTGGCCAGGCGGGTCTTGAACTCCTGACCTCGTGATCCACCTGTCTCGGCCTCCCAAAGTGCTGGGATTACAGGCGCGAGCCACCATGCCTGGCCCAAGAATTTCACTTTTAACTCTCAAATGGGGGACTTTACAGAATATTGAGCATGGAAGTAACATGATTTACATTTTAAATAATCACTCTGGTGATGTACCTGAGAACAGGCTATCATAGGTAAAAAAGGGAAATAAGAGTATAAGTCAAAAGACTTTTGCAATAATCTCAGATAAGATGACTGAGAAGTGACTGACTCTATATTTATGCTGGAGGTAAAGCCAACAGGGTTTCCTAGGAGAGAGAACATTGTATGTCAGAGAAGAGAAGAATCATGGGCAGATGCCAAGGTTCTGGCCTGAGCATAAGGCAGGATGGAGTTGTCATCACATGGGCTGTGGATGGAGCAGGTTTGGGATTTCACCTAATGGAGACATTAAGCTTAGATATTCAAGTTTGGATACCTAAGTGTTGAGCTAATTATAGAGATCCAGGTTTAAAATATAACTTAGGGACTTACTGTGATATAGATGGCTTAAGAGATGAGATTGGATGAGATCACCAAAGGAGTAAGTATAGACAGGAGAAGAAGATTAGAAGTTGAGCCCAATAGTAAAAGGTCAGCAAGAAAGGGAAGATCCAATTTAAAAAAAAAAAAAAAAAAAAAAAGCCTGAAAAGGACCAATCAGTGAATTGCAGGGAAAACTGATCATTTGACAATTGAATTTGGTGAGAAGAAAGTCACTGGAGATATTAGAAAGAGATTTTCCAGTTAAAAGAAACAGAATGTTCAGTGAAGAAGTAGAGACAATGTCCGATTTGGGTTGAGAGAAAACAAAGGAGTGGGAAACTGGAGATACAGAGAACATAGAGCCCTTTGAAAATGTTTTGCTGAAACAAAGGAATGAGGCACTGGCAGGAGAAACTGGGGTTAAGAGAAGGATTTGTAAAGATCAGAAGTTAACCTTATGTTTATATGTTGATTTGAATTTTCCACTAAACACAAAAATTAATGATGTAAGAAAGAGAGGAGAGAATAGAAAGTGTCATGTCCATGGGTATGCAAGGAAGGATGGGATCTGGACTACAAGGGGAGACACTAACCTTAGAAAGGAAACCGGATCAGGGGAAAAAGAATCTAAAATGACTCTAGAGAAGGATAATTTTAAAAAGGGGTAGGAAGCACTAACATAAGGAGCAGACAGCATAACAGAGCAAATAAGATAATAGAGTTAGAAGATGGCTTTTTTTTTCTTTTTTCTTTTCTTTTCTTTTTTTTTTTTTTGAGACAGTCTCACTCTGTCACCCAGGATGGAGTGCAGTGGTGCGATCTCAGCTTACTGCAACCTCCGTCTGCCAGGTTCAAGCAATTCTCCTGCCTCAGCCTCCTGAGTAGCTGGGATTACAGGTGCGTGCCACCAAGCCCGGCTAATTTTTGTATTTTTAGTAGAGACGGGGTTTCACCACATTGGCCAGGCTGGTCTCAAACTCCTAACCTCACGTGGTTCACCCACCTCGGCCTCCCAAAGTGCTGGGATTACAAGCGTGAGCCACCACGCCTGGCTGCTTTTTGGTTTGTTTTTGTTTGTTTGTTTGTTTGTTTTTAATGGATTTTACAAATTCCCTGAGTTGCCATTTAATATATCTAGGCTGGCATGGGCAAACTTCCTTGCATGATTGATTAACCGTAAGGCTGAAGTTAGAAATAGGAGGAACAATTGGAAACAAAAGACGAGCTAGTCAAATGTGGTTCTAGAAAAGTAAGGGAAAGGAGGGAAACTGAAGAGGGGAGACAGAGAAAGAAAGGCACACAGGGTCTCATTTTCTCCTTGTTTTACTTCCTCCAGCCTTGAGAGAAAGGGATGACTTGAGAAACATTCAGATATTTGAGAAGAACTGCAAAGGCAAAAAGCTTTTTCCTTGGTCCATTTCGGTTGCTCCAAACACACAGGCATGGAGGGCCATTGCTCTCCAACCTACTCTGGTACCACCCATCAAAGGATGCTGCTGAAAACTTTTATTTATCCAAAGGGAACCCAAGTTGTCTTTTGTTACCATAATATGTGAATAAGACCAGAAATCTGTGCAAGTGTGGCTGAGGACCTTGACAGAGCGGCCCTACCTGGCCAAAGAAGAAACAGAACTTGGAGAGGGTCCTCACTATCAACGTTGAGGCAATGCTGAATTGCTGAATCAGCAGAAGACCACTGATTCCTGAATAATCCAAGAAAAATTATCCCAACTCAAAGACACCAGCTAAAAACCCAGAAAATTCATTTTTATCAAGAACCAGCATGTGGTCCATGGTGCCCATTTACTCTGACATCACAATGTAATGTAAGCTCCTAGATTCCCCAACCTTCTCCATACAACCCAAATACAAAATGCCATCGTGGAGAGCAGAAGGATGGTGATAGAAATCTGAGAACCTAAATATTTTTACGTAAAGACAGTGAACACCATTGAAAGACAGGAGCGGTGTTCAGTTGTCCCTCCCCTCCCTAACTTATTGCAGCTACACGGCTGTGGAGGACGAGCATCTCTTCTGTTGATTCAGGAAGACCCTCTTATTAGTTCAGGTCAGTGCAATAATAATCATTAAATATTTTGAATCTCCATCCTAAAAGTACTCTCTAAATTATTGCATCAAGATAGGTTGTTGTATTAGTCCATTCTCACGTTGCTATAAATACCTGAGACTGGGTAATTTATAAAGAGGTTTAATTGACGCATAGTTCCACAGGCTGTACAGGAAGCATGGTGGCATCTGCATGGTTTCTGGAGAGACCTCAGGAAACTTAAAATCATGGTGGAAAATAAAGGAGAAGCCATCACTTCACACAGTCAGGAACAGGAAGGGGGGCAGTGAACGGTGTCACACACTTTTAAACAACCAGATGTTGTGAGAACTCATTCACCCTATTGTACCAAGGGGGAATGGTGCTAAACCATTCATAAGAACTCTGCCCCCATTATCCAGTCATCTCCCACCAGGTCCTACCTCCAACACTGGGGATTACAATTCGACATGAGATTTGGGCATGAACACAGATCCAACCATATCAGTTTTAAACCTAACTTACCTAAAAATTAATTTTCCCTCATTCTTAGAGGGTGAACAATTATGAAGACCAGAAAAGTTGGAGACAGAGTAAATGAACTCTGTTTCCCCCACATTACACCATATCAAGATAGTGGTTTAAGGAAGCATAGCACCTCACTGCAGGTCAGGCAAGCCCAGAAGAGTGTGGGTGCTGAGATAGTTAAGGTTACAAGGAATCGGAAGAAGCATTTACTCCTTTGTTCATTTAACGCATATCTAATAGGTGTCTTCTTTGTATGCATGAGGCATGGCTGACAGATAAAACTATGTTAATCAGTGTCCTCTAGAGAAACAGAACCAAGAGAATATATATATGAAGAGATTTATTATGGGAATTTGTTCATATGATTATGAAGGCCAAGAAGTTCCACAACATGCCATCTGCAAGCTGGAGGAAAAACCAAGAAGCTGGTGGTGTAATTCAGTCAGAGACTGAAAGCCTGAGAACTGGGGAGTTGATGATGATGTAACTTCCAGTCTGAAGCTGGAGAAGGGTGAAACATGGGGGGCTGCAGGTGTCAGACCCAGAGGCCAAAGGCCCAAGAACCGGGAGTTCTGATGTCTTAGGACAGGAAAAGATAGATGTTCCAAATCAAGCAGGGAGAGAAAATACACTCTTCCTTCTGCCTTTTTATTCTATCTGGGCTCTCAACAGAGTGAATAATGCCCACCACATCACATCGGTGAGGGTAAATCTTCTATATTCAGTCTGCTGATTCAAATGCTAATTTATAAAAACACCCTCACGGACACACCCGGAAATACTGTTTTTGCAGGTACCTGGGCATTGCTTTACTCAGTCATGTTGACACATAAAATTACCCACCACAAGACTATACCAAAAGTTACCAAGATACTGTTCAAAAGGCCAAAGGCTTTAATCCTAAATGAGAATATATCTAGTTCTTAGTTTATATGTTTATTATCACCATCAAAACAGGAAATTTTGGTTAAAAAATGAATATAAGGTATTCTGTTTGGCAATATGAGATTAAACATTATGAAAGTATTCAAAGTAAATAACAGCAGGGATCCTTTCCTAGTCATTTTTATCCCCTCAGTGACTCTTTGATTTGAAGATTATAGTCCTTAACTAATGCGTTCATTTCAGCTACCTTCTTTCCTTAACATCAGATCTGTAAATTTTATATAATTGCATATTGGTCAATGATTTGCAGAATACTGAAAATGTACTGCACATTTTTACATGATTTGGAAAACACTTTACAAATACAGATTTTTAATAAAAATAGTGAAATGTATACATATTTAATATGTATTATAAAATGATGCATTTCAAATAATGAAAATTAATGTCTTAAACAAATAAGATGCAGTTTTTAGATTTTATTGGGAACCAGTTAATCTAATCATAAATGAAAGTAGCAACATAACGAAAGAATAAGCAATGAAATTCATTTTAGGAGAAAAGAACAAATCTAGAATACCGTAACTGAATCAGACTTGAAAATGATCATCTGTACAAGATTTTATGCGTATCTACGATGTGTTCAGTTCATAGTTATAAGGGAAAAATTGTCTAAATTATTCATGTTCTTTGTGTAATACACTTTTATCAAGTAATGTTTACATATGCTAAAAAGCATAAATCTTGAGAGTGCAGCTTGGTGAGTTTTGATGAATATATGTACTCATACAACCAACACAGCAATCAAGAAACGGGACAGTTCCATTACTCAGAAATGTTTCTCTGGTCCTTTTCCACTTGATCTCTCCTACCAGAGGAAACCACTGTTCTGATTTCTATTTCCATAAATGAATTTTACCTGCCCTAGAACTTCATATAAATTAAATCATGTATTTGGAACTCCTTTGCTTTTAGTTTCTCTTGCTCAGCATAATTGTATTATTTCTTTACATTATTGCATGTGTCAGTAGTTTGTTCCTTTTTATTGCTAAGTTTTCCAAAGTACCGTTTCCCATTTCCACCAAAACGATGCCACAGCCTCAGCAACACTAGGTGTTTTCAGTAACTTTAGTCCTTCTTATGGATGTTTTTTGACAACTTACTAAGCCCTTTTCCATATGCTTGTTGATCATTTGTATTATTTTGTGAAGTGTGTTCAAGTCTTTGCCTATTTGTATTTGTTTTGTTTGTCCTCTTAGCATTCACTGTAGGAGTTATATTTTTATTCTGGACATAAGCCCCTGTCAGATATATGCACATTGAATATTTTTCTCTCAGTCTATGGCTCGCTTGCTCATTTTGAATGTATTTTATCTTACTTTGTAGCTCATCTTATAATTTTATTTTATTTTTTGGGTGGTAAGATTTTTTTAAATGTTCCATTATGTCTGGTTTACTACAGAAACATACAGCAAGGTATATTACCTAATTCAGGTGGAAAATAAGAAACTGGATTTCTTTTGGAGGGAAACAAGAGTTAACTAAGCACTATGTGCACATGATCTCATTTAATATTCAAAGCATTTCCATAAGATTAGATTATTCACTTCTAAGTAAACACTTGAGCTAAGAGAGGTTAAATTAATTGTCAAAAGGTGGGCCAAATATTTGACCAAAATGTATCCAAATTTGAAGTTTATGTCCTTTCCATTATAAAACACAGATTCTTATTGAGAAAGGGAAATGATTCAATTTCACCCAAACTTTGACACAATTCTCCCTGACATTGCATTCTTTAGTTCCCAACACCTGGTGCCAAAAAAAGCTGCAAAAGTAATCAGCAACCCCTTTTACAATATAAAATGAACTTTTCCCTAAAATTATCCCTCAGAAAAAAAAAGTCACCTTATATTTGAGTTTTAAAAAGATTTATTACATTACAGAGGACACTGTCATTTACTTTATTTTGAACAGTAAACGCGTTTGGAGAAAATATATTGGTCTAAAACAATGTTCCAGTTTTGAGCACTGAAAATAGATAGAATCTGGTTGGTTTGTTTTTTAGCTAACAAAAAATACAATTCACGTTTGGTAATAATTCCTGTAGACATATCTCCAAGTCTTCTGTTGGATTTGGTATTAGGGCAATGCTAGATTCTGGAACAAATATATTTCCAAATCCCCAAATATTCGTTGTTTAAAACAACGAATGTTTAGGTCTTGCTAAGTTAATAACAAACTGCAGTCACTCCTAGATGTCCAGAGATGTTCCTCCAGCAGTAATTCAAGCACCCAGATTTTTTTTTAATTTAGTTCCATGACAAACCTCTAGAGCAAGGTTCAGCAAAGTACAGCCCGTAGAACACAGCCAAATCCTTTTGTCTATGTGTTGCCTGCGTTTGCTTCCATGATGCAATTGCAGAGTGGAGTAGTTGCAACAGAGACCACATAGCCAGCCATACTTAAAATATTTACTATCTGGCTCTTTACATAAAACAGTTGCCAACCAGCCCACAAGTGGGGAAAGATAATGTGCTAAAGGCAGATCCTCTCTGAGTCCTATCCCAGAAGCGATGCGCTTTGCTTCTGCTAATATTTCACTGGCAGAACTAGTCACCTAGGACCAACTAGTTGGAATGGGCTTGGAAAATGTAATTTGGCTAGGAAGCTACTTTCTAGTAAAGATTCTAAACAGTGTAAGATAGCACACAATTGTTTGTGGAACCTAGCTGTTTCTACTGCAGTTGTCATTTTAAACAAGGCTTTTAAAGATCTGTTGGAAAGCAATAGAGATCACATAAATATACACTCAGAATGAATTAAAACCCAAATGTCCTAAAGCTGGAGCTTGATAAAAAATTTCCAATAACAGCTCCATATACAGATATTAGAATTGCAGTAACTCACTCTAGACAGCTAGATAAAGTGGCATGGAAACAATTGTGTTAGACGGTTCAAAATGCCACTGTCATGATGGCAAAGGAGCTGCTTTCAAAACTGCAATGGCAGAGTTTGACTACAACTATTCCCCAAATATTAGGCTAAAGGACATTTCTGAATTATTATATTACCTTAAACATGGGTAACTAAATTTAAACATTAAATATAAGTAGACATTTGACTATGTCATCTATATGCCTGAGACTTTACCTATTTGTCACGCAAGGTGTAAGGTGACCTACAGTACTAGTGACACATAGTTTAGCAATGAGATCTATCGATGACAACATACAACTGAAGGAACGACAAAGAGTGCAGGATCCCAAAACCCCATTGTCACTCCATGAGAGGCAGTCATGCCTTTGTGATCAGAATAGGGTAGCTGTGAAGAGCCCTCCCATTGTGGAAACCCTATCCCTGTTGAACTTCATATATTCATGTATGGCATCATATGGTTATATTTATAGCCCAAGAGGGGGATCATCCAGTCTTCTGTGAAACAATATAATGAAAGCTCCCCGAGTCAGGAAATAGCCTTGAATTGTTTCCTTAGACCACCACATAGCCAGCCAAGCCCAAATATTTACTGTTAGCCCTTTGCATACCATTGTTGAAATGTCAGCCCAGGCTTTTATGTCAGTTCACGAAAAGGAGAATAGGGGGAACTTCCCAGGGTCATATCTCAGAGACAAAAGGCTTATCTCTCTTCACTCCTCATGTTAGCCAAAAATCTTTAGGGGGCAATATTGTCATTGGGAAGATTAGAGAATCACTATATATTTGAGACTGTAGAGTCTGTATGCGATGAACTTTGTCCTTTCACTAATGAAAAAGATTAAAGAGTATCTTTGTGTAAATTGAGATCAAAATTTTGGTGAAAGGACTACAGAGACGTATTATACCAAAAGTTCTGACCTCTGTCTCCAGTTTATATTAACTTGCTTTCCTGACATTTCAGGTACACTTTAGATCTATTGCTAGTTTTTATTATCCTCCCTCATTGATATTTTTGCTGTAATTCTGGGCCCACCTGACTTCTTTTTTAGGTAATGCTGGCTCCACTTTCAGAAATTAATAAGAAAGGAAGGCTGAGTAACAGTTTAGTAACTAAGGCATATGTTGCTCAGGTGCTAAAATCTAGAGCATGATGCTCAGATGCTTGTGTTTACATGAAATCAAATAATGTTCATTTCTCACTGGATTCTGAGTCTGGCACAAACTCTTTCAATTGTTGTGCTATTATAAAGCATCCTACACACAGATGCCATCACGTTTTTTCATATTCAAGGACTGTCCTCTCTTCAATTGAGTCCCATCTTAGCAAAATAAAGGAAATTCAACTGCTAAAATCAATTGCAACATCTTACTTTTCTTGCATTATAAAAAAAGTTTATTTTTGGCTTTAAGAGACTATAGCCAAGGCCCAAACTGCCAGAGTAATTTAAGAAACCTCACTGCTCTGCCGAGATCATGCCACTGCACTCCAGCCTGGGCGACAGAGCGAAAGAAAAAAAAAAAAAGAAACTTCAAGTCTCTTACGATAGGATAATACATTGAAAGGAAACTAACACTCACTGAGCACGTACTACTGCCATTCATTAAGCATTTATGTATATTGTATTTCATTTTCTCACAACAAAATTATAAGGGATATATTGTTATAACCATTTATAAATAGGAAAAGTGAGACTCCAATTGGTAACGTATCCTTCTCAATATATGCTGGAATTAGTATTTGAGCTCAGGACTGTCTGAACAGTACTTATCAAGACACCATCACAAAGTAGATGGCTTCTGTTCCAGTGGTGCTCAGGTCCAATCTCTACATTCCTAGGAAAGTCAATCTGGTTAACTCACCCTGGGTTAGGAGTCCACACTTGGATTGAAAAGCTATGGTCAAGGGGACAAGTCTCATTAGACAACCACAGTTTCTGGGGACATCTCTTGTATATCCAGGGCAGTCCAAAAAAGGAGATGGAGGTGGGGGGTGATCCATGTTCCATGCAGATGCTAAGAGAAGAGATGGCTACACAGGAGACTGCCTTATTATAATCCTTCAGATCTGATAGGAATACCCTGCAATATTTATTGGCCTATTCCAAATCTTCTCCTTTCACCAATTCTCAGTCAATTGTCTTTCGTTTTCTAATTTGAATCTGCTTCCCAAACTGGAAGGAGTTCTCTTTTAGCTATGGTATTGTGCCTGAGTCCGGAATCCCACTGCTAAACTCTGTTACTCTCCTGGGGCTGGCAAAGGCCATCTCCTCTGGACTTGGCTTTTACTAAAACCCAAGCTCTACTCTTTCTTAAACTATGGGCAGCCTTCCACTGGGCCACCTGTTAGCATTTTCATAAGTGACTTCCTAAAACAAATTGAAATTTTGTCTCTCTTAAACAAGCCAGTAAGTTATACTTTGTGTAATCATTAAATACTACCTTCTCTGGCTGGGTGCGTAATCCCAGCCCTTTGGGAAGCCAAGGCAGTGGATCATTTGTGGCCAGGAGTTCAAGGCCAGCCTGGCCAACATGGCGAAACCCCATCTCTACTAAACTACAAAAACTAGCCAGGCGTGGTGGCGTGTGCCTGTAATCTAGGCTACTCTGGAACCTGAGGCACCAGAATTGCTTGAACCCAGGAGGCGGAGGTTGCAGTGAACCAAGATGGCGCCACCACACTCCAGCCAGGATGACAGAGCGAGACTCCATCTCAAAACAAACAAGCAAACAAACAAAAAACTACTTCCTCAAAATTTATCTATTTAACCATTATAAACAACCTATAGCATAAATCCACAGCACAAACTTGCCACACAAGAGTCATGATTAGAAGCTTGTTCACCTTATATTCTCTAAACATAAAGAGCTCTAACATAACATATATGGCCCCAGTTTATACCATATAATACAAGGTTATATAAAACGGTCTAGTGCCTAGCACAGACCCATTAAACATAAGGCACTGAAGAAATATTTGTATATTTAATTTGAGCTCCCCTGAAGGAGACAATGTATTACTGAAAACCACAACATAAAAATAAAGTTGCTTAAGAATTTTATAACTTCTTTCCAATGTATTTTATATTTGTGTGTATATGTGTATATAGGTGTCTATACATAATTGTCTTATTTGTATGCATACATACACACATTATCTATTATACATATATTACAATTTAGATATTTTACAATATATATTTATTACATATTATATATAATTGGTATATACACAAAATGTACACACACAAATATATGATATTCTTTGGGGTGCATATGTACATATATGTCTATATATACACACGTACCTTTCCTTTTCTAGTCTTATGTAAAACTAATCTATACATTTCACTTTTAACAAATTATTATGCATTCATATGCACATTAGTCATTTTAATGCCTAAGAAGTGTTCTGATATTTTAAGTAGAAATGCTAAAACATGCTTTACTTCAAAATCATAAAGTACAGTGCATCTTTTTGAGCACAAATATCAATAATACAGATAACACAAATCTCAAATTAGATAGAACTTTAAATAAATCTTCTATTCCATTTAGCCAGTTTATGGAACAACAAAAGCAATATGGGAAGGCAGAGAAAGATATGGGACGAATTTGCTCACTAACTTTGAAATACATCTTCCTAAACATATCCTCATTCAAAGTCTAAGACAGACAAAATCTTTGAACTTCTGAAAAGGAAACCCCTTTGGCAGGCATGAGAAAGGTTCACAATGCGTGAACACACACACATTGACATAGAACATTCTACTATCCCTGCAATAATAACAATGCTATCTAATCCATCAGAGGTCCTGAAATGTCACGCCTCCTGATTTAGGCCTTTGGGGAGAACTTGACCTGCTTGTTACAAACTAGAAAAATAGCAAAACTGAGCCAAGCCTAATCATTTTACCTGAATGATTAAGCATTTTCTGCATCTTTCTCTTAGCCAAAAAGCTACTTGATAATATCATTGATTCCCAATCCCATTAAATTACCCTCTTCAAATTTGCCTTCTGTAACTTTCAGCTTTGTCTTGAAGGCCAAATAACATGAAGGATATGACAACACAAACAAAAGATTTAGGAAAACTAGCAAAGAAGTGAGGCAGTAGAATTGCTTAAGTATAAAAAGTGAAATCCATTGAGAAGTGTGAAAAAGGAGAGTTTCTTCCATTGTCCCTGATTTTAATCAACCCTACGCCCTCTCCTCCCTAACCCCTCCGTACATCTTTTTTTTTTTTTTTTTTTTTTTTTTTGAGATGGAGTCTCGCTCTGTCTCCCAGGCCGGAGTGCAGTGGCACAACCTCAGCTCACTGCAACCTCTGCCTCCCAGGTTCAAGCGATTCTCCTCCCTCAGCATCCCAAGTAGCTGGAATTACAGGCGCCTACCACCACACCTGGCTAATTTTTGTATTTTTAGTAGAGATGGGGTTTCACCATATTGGCCAGGCTGGTCTCAAACTCCTGACCTCATGATCTGCCCACCTTGACCTCCCAAACTGCTGGGATTACAAGAGTGAGCCACCGTGCCCGGCCCACACATCTTTTATGTACTCAATTTAGACATGGAAATTAGCAGGTTATCAACAAAAGGACTTTCCTTTCCTTAATCTTAATATCCAAATTTGGAAGAAAACAAAAACACACCTAACTCTGGCGATGCCCTTCCCATGACACTGCCAACATGCATGCGATTTTCTGCAGCCCATGGCTAGCCTATCCTGGCTTTTATCAATCCCACTTAGATTTATTGTAGTAGATTTCTAACTGTTCTCTCTCAAGTTTCTTCTTTTGTCAATAACTTTTGCACTTCTGGCTATTATCTTCCCCCAAACGCCACTATTAGCATGTCACTGCCAGCACATGAACCGATTACCTAATGGATAAAATCAAATTCCTTTGACTTTCATCTAGTGTCTATTCTCATGAGCTTGTGCCATTTCTTTCCAATAGCAGAAATTCTCCTATCTAGTCAGGCAGGTCCTATAATTTGCCACAATAAATTTGTTCTCAGTATGTGTGTTGTTACCTCTGCCCAGAATGCTCATTCCCTCTTCACTTTTCCTTTCTAAATCCTCTATGTTCTCTGAAGCTAGGATCGATTCCCATCCTCACTATAAAGTTTTATTCTAATTTAAATTAATTGATGTTTCCAAATTTTTAGACTACTTCAGACTCAGGCAAGAAATGTCCTTGCTTAGGATTTTGAGCTTTGGAGGCCTCTCTCTCTCTCTCTCTCTCTCTCTCTCTCTCTCTCCCCCTACATGCACAGACACACACACACACCGCATTCACAGAAGAACACGTGCGTACCTCTGTAAATCAGAATCCATTGCTCAGTACTGACAGCTTGTAATCTAAATATTCCAGCCCATAACCTACACATTCATTTTTGTGACTAACGCTGTTTAGTTCCTAGGGAAATTCTTCTCCATCTCTCCTTCCCTATGGTGCATTTGACTATGAGTGAGTACCATAAAAGACTTGAGCTGTGGCACTGTCAGTGTTTGATAGGAACACTGCTTTAGAGCTCAGGGATATTTGAACACAAGATGGGCTTTGGTAAAGGATAAGACAAATTAACTTGCCACACCTTTATTCTCAGTTTGCATACTTGCAGTGGAGTCTTGGATAACAAAGTATTGTTTCCCAGGACTGCCAAGTGCCCCTTTTCTTGCTTCAGTTGCAGATCCAATTTGTAGTTGTGAAAGTAGTCATAATTTAGCATGGCATTTGAACAATTACCAACAGTGACTGGAAGCTTTGTGCAATGTTAAAAAGTTCATATTCTTCTAAAATTTATTTATTTACAAAAACATACTTTACTAGACATAGCAGGCATGAAGTATGACACAAATTCTTCACAGGACAGCTGGATGAACATTTTCCACAAAAATTTAAAATATTTAAAAATTTAATTAAATTTGTATAAAGAATGAAAATTTTAATTTTATTTAAGTGTTGCTTTTTCGATATTTCTTAACTATAATTTATATAATTTTTAGTTATCCACTTATGGTGATAGATAATTTTGAGTAATTTTGAATATTTCAGGATAAAATAACTATTTGAAGAAATTGATTTATATTTTAAGAAATATATTTTTAATTCATTATTAATACAATTATATTAATGATCTTAATGTCTCAAATCATTACTGTAATTAGAAAACAAAGTATGTGAAGATTGTAACTATGAATACTTAATTAGTAATTTTGATGAAATGAAAGAAATAAAAATAAATCTTATAGCGTAAGTATATAATGGATTATGAATTATGTGTATATTTATTGAGTTACCTAAACATTAACAAGGCAATAGTTAAAAGAATATCAGGCATATTCAATAATAACTGAAATCAGTCATTTTTGGTATTTTATCAACTGTCAGTCAAATAAAAACCAAAGCTTTGCAAAAATGTTTTTATTTCATCATTACAAAATAATCTTTGTCAATGAAGGAAGAAAAACATATTTTATATAACAATTTGCTAGCTTTGTCTGTAATAGTTTAAAAATTCACATATTATAGGTGAACCTTCATTTGTACTTCCTGCCTCATAACTTGCAATTATTGGGCCTGGCCATAAAAATATTCAGATACACTAAAATCTTTAAAAACTACATACCCTTGGAGTATGTGTGTCAGCTCTGTCTCCCCATTAAATGATGAATTACAGGGCCAAGATCACACCTTTTACCACTTCATAATCTCTCATGGTAGCCTTCATTATTGTGAGCAATTTATTGGTCCTTAAGTAGCTATCAATTGTTTGGAAAAGAGATGAGAAACAGCAATTATGAAATTATAAATAACTAGTGTTTCTAAGATGAGTCTTGGATGCAGGTTGGTCGTGGTGGTGGCAAGGAATTGTGTCTAGCCTTGAAGATGACAGCATCCCACAAGGGACATAAAAATAGCATTGGGAGCAAGGAAAAGCAGCTTAAGTGAGGCTTTATAGGGTTCCTGCCTGACAGAAAACTGGTGAGCGAGAGTCTTCTTGAAGGAAAAGCAGCGTTTTACAGCCGCACGGCAATGCTCAATGGCGTTCAATTTGAAAATGAGGGGAATAAGAAGCGGGTTCTTAGAAAGCAAATCTGCCGTCAATCTTTTTTGTTGCTCTACTTTACAACCATGTCAAACCCTTTCATTCCCGAATCTTCAATGAGTTTGCTCAGAATCGATTTTTGTGTGAGGAGAAATGAAAAGATGCCCCCCACCTATGTTCACTGAAGATAAAAAGCACGATATTTAAAGTTAAGTGACATTTAGTGACTGCCAGTTTGTTATTAAGTAATAGCTTTCTGTAACCTGCATGTTGTGCACATGGACCCTAAAACTTAAAGTATAATAAAAAAAAAGAAAAATAAATAAATGAATAAATAATATAATTGAACTCATGGAGACAGAGAATAGAAGGATGGTTACCGGAATCTGGGAAGGGTAGTGGGTGGTTGGAGGGGAAGTAGGGATGGTTAATGGGTACAAAAAATAAAATAGAGTAAGATTTACTATTTGCAAGCACAACAGGGTGACTGTAGTAAAAAATAATTGTACATTTTTTAATAACTAAGAGTATAACTGGATTGTTGGTAACACAAAGCTTAAATGCTTGACATGATGGATACCCCATGTACCTTGATGTGATTATTACACATTGCATGCCTATATCGAAATATCTCATGAAATCCATTAATATGTATACCTATGTACCCACAAAAATTAAAACTAAAAAATTGAAAAAAAAGTAATAGCTGTCTTTAAAGAAAAAAAAAATTAACCAAACTCCAAAAATGTTACTTTACAAAGACATTTAGTTTCAGCTGCTTTTCAAAGTCATTGTTGAACAGCTGCAAAATAGTTCAGTTAAAGAGATTTCTTTTGCGCAGAGAGCCTAACACTGAAAAATACGTGTTGTAAAATTTCTAAATAAAAACTGGCTTATTTCTCTCATTTTAGGTGTTTCAGTAAATATTTGTAAAATCATGCTCAAGATAGCTTTTACTTGGGAAATAAAACGCATAGTATCCGTCAATGATCAATCATGTGATTTTCTAGAGTTTACGTGTTCTCATTACCCATGCCGAAATGCATACATGTTTATATATACATGAACAGTGATTTGAAAAAGGAGTTACATGAAAATCAGGACCTTTGCAGAAAACAAGTTCTCATACTTAACTATTAATAAGCTCTATTCCACATCACTTTTCTTATTTTCTTATAATTTGGGTCAATGAATATGAATGAAGCTTATTGAAATGTTAACGTATGTATAGACAAGCTCAAGTTAAATTATTGTTTGGCAAAATCTATAAAAGATTAAGCTTAAGGACTCAGATTGAATGCCAATTACCAGAAACTGTGAATTCCAGTAAAACATGATTAAGCAGTGAGCTACTCCTCTTCCACCTTCTCTTCCCTTTCCTCTCCTTCTCTTCTAATACAAAAGCCATCTGATGGGGCCGAGCAAGGTCGGTATTTGTGCAGGGGTGGAGGAGGCAGTGGGTAGGTAGTCATGATGACCAGAGGGAGTACCAGAGGGCAAGGGGAGTTACGAGGGTGTCCACAGGAGGGGCATCCTGGCATGGTGTATGGGAGCCCAGTGAGGGTAAAAAAGTATCCACACACAGAGGTCAGCCTGTTACAGAATGTCAGAATCCAGTCCAGGTGAGGAAGGTCCCAATACTCCTGGAGTAGCCTGAATAGGGTGACAAAGGTATGCATGCAGGGTAGAGTGTGGTCTAGCACAGGGTGTAGAGTGTGGTCTAGCACAGGGTGTAAAGGGTGGTCTAGCACAGGGTGTAAAGTGTGGTCTAGCACAGGGTGTAAGAGCCCAGTAGGGTAGTGAGAGCTCTCCCTATGGAGGAAGAGGCTGTGCAATGACAGAAAGTTAGCTATTGAGCCAAGGCACAGGGAGGGAAGATTTTGACCAAATAAATAAATATATTAAGTACAAAAGGAATCTGTTTCCTCACTTTTGGAGAGGGGAGTTGTATTAGTCTGCTCTCATGTTGATAATAAAGACATACCCAAGAATGGCTAATTTATAAAGGAAAGAGGTTTAAGGGACTCACAGTTCCACATGGTTGAGGAGGCCTCAAAATCATGGTGGAAGGCGAATGAGGAGGGAAGTCTCATCTTACATGGTGGCAGGCAAGAGAGAAAAAGAGCCAACCAAAAGGGAAAACCCCTTATATCAGATCTCATGAGACTTATTCACTACCATGAGAATGGTATGGGGAGAATACTACGGGGGTAACCACCCCCATGATTCAATTATCTCCTACCAGGTCCCTCCCACAACACGTAGGAATTATGGGAGCTACAATTCAAGATGAGATTTGGCTGCGGACACAGCCAAACCATATCAGCAGTATATACATAAATGAAAAGAGAAAAAACTCAAATAAATCCTATGGTGTTGAGTTGAGATTGCAGGTATTGCTGTGAGCATATGTTTATATATTACACACACACAAACACACATACACATATATATACATATATACACATATATATACATATATTTTTATATACATATAAAAATGAATATAGCCAGGCGCAGTGGCTTATGCCTGTAACCCCAGCGTTTTGGGAGGCCGAGGCGGGCGGATCACTTGAGATCAGGAGTTCAAGACCAGCCTGGCCAACATGCTGAAACCCCATCTCTACTAAAAATACAAAAAAATTAACTGGGTGTGGTGGTGCACGCCTGTAATCCCAGCTACTCTGGAGGCTGAGGTAGGAGAATCGCTTGAACCCAGGAGGCGGAGGTTGCAGTGAGCCAAGATTGCACCACTGCACTTCCGCTTGGGTAACAGAAAGCAACTCTGTCTCAAAAAAAAATGGATATAGATATAAATATATAGTACATGTGCATACACATTTTCATCCATATATTCCTTAGCTCTAAGCTACTGAGAGAGAGGGTTTGGGAGCAGCATGCCTCAACAGCAGTAGGCACACCTAGTGTCCAGATCTTGGTTTCTCAATACCACTCTCCACTAAGAGGAACGAGATCTTCTTGGAGAAATGGTTAATTCTAGGGCTTGTGCAAGGAAAGTACCAGATGAGCCTTGAACATCTTGTTGTGCCAGAAAATAAGAAAGTATTCAGAGAAAGATAAAGATGTGTCAAAAGATAACAGAAGGCTGTTTGAAGAGGCCATCAATTTGAATATGAATATTGATAATAACAGATTATAATCTATTGACTAAAACAGGAAGCTGTGAATCCATACTGATAGAAATAAATTGAAATATTGATGAGGAACAGTCTATTCATAGTCCTACAGTAATTTCTTACAAAACACTCATTTCCCCCCCCCCATAGTATTTTTTTTTTTTTTTACAGAGAAGCTTGCAGATGTCACCATGATCAACTGACCAAACTTATCAGCAGTAATGGGACTAATCAAAATGGTATGCTAATTAATAGGAAAAGAGCCCAGCATCACTCCTGTGACATCCCTGCCAGAGATGCACGAGCTAAATCTAATCATGATGAAGGATCAGAGAAACCCAAATTGAGATAAATTCTATAAAGTAACTCTATAATTTTCAAAAGTATCTGGTTATGAAAATTAAGAACCGCCTAAACAATGCTTCCAGGCTGATGGAAATGAAAGAAACATTATAGCAGATCCTGAACTGTTGTTATACATACTTTTGTTATAAAGGACATTATTGGTACCATTGGCAAAATTTAAATGTGGTCTGAGGAGGAGGTGATAGTAGTGCATCCTAGTTAACTTCATCATATTGATGCTTGCTTTGTAGTTAGGCAGGAGAACTTCCGGCTTTATAGGAAAAATAAACTAAAATTTTCAGAGGCGATGGATCATCAGTCCAGCAACTTACTCTCACATGGTTTAAGACCAAACAAAAAAACTTTTTTGTAGTGTCCTTGCAACTTTTCTGTTAGCCTGGGATTGTCCAACAAAATAAAATCTGAGCCTAAACATATAAAGAAATTCTTCTCTTAAAATATAATACAAAATAATCTGAGAGAAGCCCTAAACTAATTTGGCAGAATTTGATTCTCTCAGAATTGTATTCCCATTTTTCATTTAGGTAATATGATCAGAGCACACCTTGTGAGCCTATACAGTAACTTATTACTAATATAATATGGAAATGCCAGGAAGAGTCACTAACACCAACCTTCCATAATGCCCAAATTTCCATAAATGGAAAGTCTTTCCCATGGGTTAAAAATACTCTTTTAAAAGGACTGTTTTACAATATAATGTTCTGGATGCCAGATGAAGAACTACTGACAGGAAAAGATACATTTTTAAAAGTATATGTGCAAGTCAGGCTCATCAAATCCTTTCCCTTTTCAAACTTGAGAATATAGGGGTGGGGCAGGGTGGTGGGAAGAGGAGGGAATGTCACATCCCAGTGGAGAAACTGAGCCCTGGTGTGGCTATGTTAGAGCCTGATGACAAGAAAAGCTCCATCAGCACAATCAGAGACCCATTAAGTCACCATGACCAGGGAGATGGTGGCTCCAGGTAGATGACTGATCTGGAGCAAGATGGGCCCAAAGAACCAGTGATTGTGATTAAGTACGCCTAAGACATCAAATAAACCCAAAGGTGGGTGATCAGATTGAAGATTAGTCAGCCAAACATGATTGACAAGCCAGAGAACCAAAGTTTTTAAAAAGATTCCAAAGGCAAGTACAAAGATGAAGGGGAAGTGAGGTACATACTAACTTTCCACAGATAAGAGTGTACTTGCTAAGAGAATTCAGTAGGATGTTGTACAGCCACAGTTGTCCTTTACTCCAATCCACTCCTAGATTCAGTTTTAAGATTATCATTACAGATGCTGAAATCACCTGTAGATTAGGAAAGAGTGGACCTGTCTCTGCCTGCCTGGTCTTGGGTTTTGCAGATGTAAAAAAAGGAATACATGGTAATGTGGAAAACAGGAGACGCCCACTCAGAATTCCCTTCAAGGAGAGACTTTCTGCCTCGCTGGAATGGGAGTGGTCAACAGACAATCTTTAATGCTCAGCTCCTTCAGGGTCCACCTAAGCTGGAGAGAAGCTGCCCCACTCAAAGTCATACCCTTCCCAGGACACCCACATCAGGAAGCTAAGCAAGGTGGGAATAAAATGCCCCAGAACTTTCAACCTGACAGAAGACAACTCTGAAGAGGAATGTCTACTTCAGATTCCGCAACACCGTGCCCCCCTCCTCACCATCCCCCACACCACAACGGGCTTCCGGAGGCTTTGTGGAGCTTCCATCACAGTTCAGCTTGCAAACTACTCGACTCTGCTCCTTCCTTTTTTGTCCTTCACTGTGAATTCCTAACAAACATTTTTTACCATAAATTCAATCTCAGCATTTGCTTCCAGAAAACCCAACCTGTGACAGTTCGTGCCAAAAATAACCTGAGAAAGCGTCACGGAGTTTGGGAGAGGAATCTGTGCTGCCAACCTGACAACAAGGTAAAAGGAGCCAGAGAGCCCCCAGTACAAGGCAGAAGTCCAACTCCTAACACTCTCTCACTGGTGGTGAATTGGGACAGTGAACGAATGGAAGTGAACCCCTTAGGAGGTGTGATGTGTTGAGCATTTGAAACCCATGGAGGAAGTAGTATTAGATGGCTATTGCTGAGAGCCATTGATGTGCTACAGAATGACAAGCTGAGAATGAGTAAAAACCAACTGAAACTCAGGTGTAAACGCAGGACCTGGGACTAAGGTAAGACCATGTGAGACATTCAGTGCAAAATCTAAGAGGATACCATAAGCCTCAGTCATCAAAAGCCACTTTCTCTCAGGCTTACAACACCTTCCTTAAGCTGATCCCTCAGTGGAGTTGAGGTTGACAGGAAAAAGCAAGCAAGCAGACACCTCATTATATAACTGCTTATGGATATTTTGTTGTCTTGTTTTAGTGTCTGTAAATGCTATAACATACTATTACTGCAACAACAGTGTGCTATATGTGTGGGCGTGTTTGTTTTGTCTATACCAGTTGTTCTCAACAGGGAGTTTTGCTGCCATGGGACATTTGGCAATGTCTGGAGATACTGTTTGTTGTCATAATGGAAGGGGGGTTGGGGTGGTGCTACTGGTATCTAATGAATAGAAGCCAGAGACATTTCTAAACATCCTACAGGGCACAGGACAACTTCCCACTAACACACACACTTAACAAAGAATTATGTAGTTCAGAAGGTTAAGAAATCTTGGTCTCCACTCTAGGGCAGTTACCAATTGCAGCACATTAATTATTACATGGGTCAGGAATTTAGGATCCAGAAGCGTCCTCGACAAACTTCAACAATCACTATCTAAGTAGCACTACTGGGTTCCATAAATAACATTTGAAATTAATGTTGTAAGAAAAGTGAATTGGTTACAAACTGTGAAATAGGTGCTTCTGTCTTTCAACATGTATGAGTATTAAAACCCAGTGATCCCAGCAGCCTCTTCATGCCAGGGAGTGCTCTCAGCCCAGAGCTTCAATTTAGCACATGTCGGTGGGGATTCTATCACACAATCCAACTACAAGTTTAACTTGACTCTTGTTATCTGTCTCCAGTGCTCTTTAACCACCTCTGGTAATGCCAAGTCCTTGAGCCCAGCAGCTCAAGAGCCAACCCACTAAAAGCAGAGGTCCTTCTCCTGTTCCAGAAAACACCTCCAATTAGTGGCCATCTTTAGTTTCTGATTCCCAAAAAGTAGAGAGCCTGAGGCAGAGGCAGGTGAAGTGTAGAAGCTTCCTTCTCCACAATATCACTAGTAGGGGTGCCTTATAATGAAGCGAAGTCTGGTGATGGTACTGCAAGTTACTGCTACAATTAACCTAGGCATATTTGGATCTTCATAATCATTAGGTTATTTTTGGCAGATATCAGTATCCATCTCTGGATAGTCTCTCTCAGTGAACACTAAAATCCCCAAAAAGGTGATTCCCTCAGGATACCTCATATCCTCCATCTAGCTCTGTCATGGTAAAACCTACCAAACCTGTTCATCTTCCCTCAGTCATGGGAGATTTCAGAGAGCTTCCCCCTTAAATGAAGCTTTTTTAATAACATTGTCATAATGAATTTAGAGGTTTTGTTCCCAACAGTGTGCTATTCCAGCTGTAAATCCTGCCCAGTTCAGGCATGGGAAGATATCCCATTTACTAACTTAGAGCATTAAATAATACCACTACAGTAATGCACCACATAATAGCACTGCAGTCAGTGAAGGACCGCCTATACAACAGTGGTCCCATATGATTTTAATGGAGCTGTCCTGTACAGATGTACCAGTTTTATGCCATATTTTTATGGTGCTTTTCAATGGTTAGCTATGTTTAGATACACAAATACTTACCATTGTATTACAGTTGCCCACAGTATTTAGTATAGTCACATGCTGTGCAGGCTTGTAGCCCAGGAGCAATAGACTATACTATACAGCTTAGGTGTGGGGTAGGCTACATCATGCAGGTTTGTGCACGTGCACTCTACCCTATAATGTCCACATCACAACAAAATCTCCTGACTACACATTTCCCAGAATGGATCACTGGCATTAAGCGACACATAACTGTATTTAAGGCTACAAAGTAAACCACATTCAACTAAGACATGCTTAACTATAAACTTTGAAACCCCTTTTTCTTAACAGAATTATTTTATTTCCCTGTGTCAACACATATTATGTAAAGTCTTTACAAAATGTATTTGCATTTTGTGTGAGCAAAGCCCTTTGAGATTTTAGATTTTCACATATGCAATAAAGGTCTCTGAAGCTGGGCTTGACTTTTGTCAAATAAACAAATCATTATCCTTCCCTCTTGATTTCTCATAGTTTCTGGTTCATTAGATACTTAATACCATACTATAGACCTGATGTCCCCTTAATACCTATCACAAATACAACATTTTTACAAATAAAATAATATTTTTGTCTGAGAAAAACAAATAAAAACAATGATTCTAGGCTGTTAGCCATTACTCCCAAGTAAGCTTCAAAAGATTTACATACAGCTCTCTCAGAAAGTTAAATTGCATGTTATATTTTACCATAATAGAACACACATGTTTAACCTTTATAAATGTATGTTGTGACAAGAGCATTTGCTGCTTTGCGAAGTTTATGTAATGCTGTTTAATGTTGCCCCTAAAGAACAGCTGAGGTCCCTCACACCTTCCTCCAAAGAAGTAATGGAGTGATGCTTGGCCATCACCATGCTAATGTTTCTGTAATGAAAGAGGTCATAAACCTCCTCTCCTTGAGGAAGATGCCTGATAACGTCCAACCCTAAAACATGAAGACTCTAGTTCTGCACAGACATAGAAAAATATAATTCATTGAAAAAGGAGAGGACTGAAACAGAAGAGCAGCATCTGAATGTTTCTGTACAATTTCTTTGTAAGACAAATAAAAGAGATTGCAGGTATCTAAATTTCTCAATTTTGTGAACGCATTCCCTCTTCTTTTATTTAAAAGAATCAAAAATTTGTTTTGATCAAAAAGAAAGAAGTAGCCCTTGATTTTAGAAAATGTCTAATAGAGCTTAATACCCATTCTGTCTACCAACTAATGATGCATTCAAGAATGGAAATAACCATTCACCTGTGGAAGAAGCAAAAGAATACAGGGTAGTATGTATGCTTGAGCTGAGAAGCCCCATGCAAATATGATTTTACCCACCACAGATCCAAAACACCCATTTCCTATACTCACAAACTCAAAGCTGTCTGGTCTCTTTACCAACATTCTTTACTGATTAAAAAATAATAATAATAATAATAAAGCAAAATGGGAAGCAGATTTTTTTACTCTGGTGAAAATTGACCCAGTGCCCTAATAATGGATCAGTGGAAGAAAAGAGGAACAAATGTCACCCATAGTGCATTAAAATAATTGTGTGAATGTGAATATCAAAACTTGGATTTCTAGTAAACAAGTCTGAACTATTCATTTCTGACATTTCTGAGCACTATAGATCGAATATGTTCATTTCTTCTGTTATACTGAATATGAAATTAGAATTTATCATCCCTAGGTATATGGTAGTGTCTTGGTAACAGCCACATAAGATACTATAGTTGAAGGTAAAGTTATTTTTTCATGCTTTTTCACTGAATTGTCTATTAAAATATGTACTTACTAGACATTGCAATGTGCCACCCAAGTCCTCTTTCAGGTATGCAGATATCATTCTCTAAGCTGCTGGGTGAACTGACTGATGATGACAGCCCGTGGCTGTCAGCTTCTTCAGGGACAACCTCAACTGACAGAGCTGCCTCCATCTAGATTATGGACCCTTTCTGAGTATATCTCACACCATGGCTGATCAAGAAATAAGCGTGGAGGTTTTCTATAAAGGCCCATTTCCCTAGCCTAACTCTGAACAACTCTAAAGGGTCATCCCAATCCCATCTCATGACATCAGCTAAGGTTGCTGTTGAATTGTATCACTCTCCAAATTCTACCTCTGCCTCATCTTTCTTTCTTTCTCTCCCTTTCTCAAGTATAGATCTCATGAGTACTCCTATATTAGTCCATTCTCACACTGCTTTAAAGACATACCTGAGACTCAGTAATTTATAAAGGAAAGAGGTTTAATTGACTCACAGATCCACATGGCTGGGGAGGCCTCAGGAAACTTATAATCATGGTGGAAGAAGGACCTTCTTCACATGGTGGCAGGAGAGAGAAGTGTGTGTGAAGGAGAAACTGTCAAACACTTACAAAATCATCAGATCATATGCGAACTCACTATCACAAGAACAACATGGGGGAACCGTCCTCATGATCCAATCACCTCCCACCTGGTTCCACCCTTGGCACTCGGGGATTACGGGAATTTGAATTCGAGATGAGATTTGGGTGGGGACACAGAACAAAACCATATCAACTCCCTAATAAATGCCCTGCATGTCAATCTCCATTTCAGAGTCAGCTTCCCAGAGAACACAACCTCTAACAGTTTGTGCCAGGAATGGTCCATAAAAGCAGATACTAAGATGAGATTTTGAAGCTCAATCACCCACGACCTGGATGGCAATAAGGAACCGCCCCCCACTGGTGGTAACTGAAGCACAGATGTCTCCAGGTACGAGAGAGCAGAATAATTGCTAAACTTTCACTGGTGGTAAACCGGGATAGCATACTGTTGCAAGGAAATGTATTGGTTGATATTATATTGGCATTTGAGAAATAGAGAGAGAATAGTAACTCTAAAAACAATGGAATTAAGTGGCTGCCGCTAAGCATTATTGATGCTTTTGAAAAGAATAACAAGAAGCTGAATGTGTTGATCAGTAATTAAAAGGTGTGAAGGCCAGAATGCCTCTTTAGTAGCTTATAAAGGAGCTTTCATCTTGATATGGTTTGGCTTGGTGTCCCCACCCAAATCTCATGCTGAATTGTAATTCCCAGTTTTTGGGGGTGGGGAGGCGTCTAGTGGGAGGTGACTGGATCACGGGGGCAAATTTCCTCCTTGCTGTTCTCATGACAGTGAGAGAGTTCTCACAAGATCTGGTTTAAAGTGTGCAGCACTTCCCACTTCGTGCTCTCTCTCCTGCTCCACCTTGTGAAGACGTACTTGCTTCCACCATGATTGTAAGTTTCCTGAGGCCTCCCCAGCCATGTCTCCTGTACAGCCTGCAGAACTGTGAGTCAATTAAACCTCCTTTCTTCACAAATTACTTAGTCTCAGGTAGTTCTTTAAAGCAGTGCAAGAATGGATTAATACACATCTCCTGCAGCAAAAGGACAGAGAAAGCAGAGGACCAGGCCAAAGACTTAATTGTCAGGGTAACCAAGCTCCAAAGAATGTTAAACTCCCACCAAAGAAGGCCTGCTATGGCAATATCAGAGCCATGGTAGGGGGAAAAAAAGGGACTCTAACAAATAAGATAGGCACAACAGGGTTGATGGCTGCAAAATCTTGAATCTTCAGATATCCCTAAACCCTCCTGAATGCAGAAGCAGTCCACTCCTCTCTTTTAAAGGGGAAGCAAGCACTACCTCTTGCTTAAAGAAGAGGCCAAAGGCTCTCCTACGAAGGTGACATGTACTATCCTCAGCATCTGTCCCCACTTTCCCTCCTGGACAAAAGGCCAATAACTAGGTCTAAATCCTAACCTAACCAAGTCAGAGGATATTATCTCATTTACCTTTGATATTATCAAGGAAAAGCCAGTAGAACGGAGAGACATCAGACTGATAAGCTTGAGATTCCAGCTCACATCCTGACTATGCCAATGCCCCTCTGTGTGACCTTGAACATGTGACTTACAGTGCTCAGTCTTTTTATGTACAAAAATGGTAAAACACCTGAGCTTGGTTCACAGATGCACCATCTAGACATGTGAGCGCACGCCATCTCAGAAGTGGCCTCAAAAGACACTGCTGTGGAAAATCCTCCAAACTGGAAGAACATCATGCGCTTGCCCATTAATTCTGGGTGGAAAGAGAAGTGGCCCACACACATGCCCACACACACACTCACACACACACACGTATGTAAATATGTATATAAGTCACTGGATATGAGATATATGATCATATTACATATATATGTAGATATATACATATGTCAATATAAAATATATGTACATATATGCAATATATGTGTCAATATAAAATACATGTACATATATTTAAGTGTGGCCATTTGTCACTGGCCACAATATATATGATCATATTACATATATACATAGATATATACATATATCTATATATAAATATATGTACATGTATTACATATATGTAATATGTAATATATATGTACATTTGGAGCATGGAAGGAGAAATATTGAAAAATTAGGGACAAAGAGGTCTAAGTTAAAGGTATGTGCATATACAAATGGTAGTGAGCAGGAAATATGAAGGCCTTTGTATCATACATTATGGACTAACAGAGCATTAATGATATGGTTGAGATGTCTGTCCCCTCCAAATTTCATGTTGAAATGTAATCTCCAATATTGAAGTTCAGTCCCCTGTTGTGAGGTAATTGGATCATGGGTGCAACTTGGTGATGAGTGAGGTCTTGCTTAGTTAGCTCATGCAAGATCTGGTTGTTTAAAAGTGGGCAGCACCTTCCCTCTCTCTCTTGCTCCCACTGTTACCATGTAATGTGCCTGCTCCCTCTTTATCTTATGCCATGATTTTAATTTCCTGAGGCCCTCACCAGAAGCAGAGGCTGGCACCATGCTTCCTGTATAGCCTGCAGAACTGGGAGCCAATTAAACCTCTTTTCTTTATAAATTACCTAGCCTCAGGTATTCCTTTATAGCAACACAAAAAGCAGCCTAACATAATTAACCAAAGAGAAGGATCTCAAAATGAGGTTGACCAAATGACTCAACCAGTTGCCATCAGTCAACTTCTGTTATCAGATATCCAAGTCCTGGCCAAAAAGGCACAGGAAAATGGTAGCCACAGTGGCACAGGGTAGCGACAGTGGCAGGCACCGAGATTATGCATGGACTAAGAGCAGGAACTCCCACTTATTAAGGCTGATCTGGCTATTACCACCACCCAAGGTCAAAATTTTCAGCAATAGAGACCATCAGTTCAGTGTGGTCTGTGCTGCTGGTAACAGATGCCTGGTATGACATCACCTCTCAAGACAATGAATGAACCAACCATGAGTGACAAGTTTACTAAATATTGAGGCCCTTACACCCTGAAAGGTATAATGACTCATTTTGACAGGAAGAGACAAATATCCGTATATGAGTTTATGTTTTATGCCCACACAGCCTCAGCAGGACCATTGTTCATTGGCTCACATTATACAAAGAAGGTACAGAAAGAAGGTACAGAATGTCATGTGATAAAGAGATCCTATGGTTGTATCACTCAGAAGCTTCCATTGTGACAGAGCAATGGAACGGTCTATTAAACGCATAATTGAAGAGTCCATTTGAGATCCTGTTTTGCCACAATAAGGTATGTTTTTAAGATACAGTGCACATTGTAAATCAACAACTTTTAGGTGGTGCTCTATCCTCAATAGAAAGGATATATATAGAAGAACAGATGTGTAGTAAGCAGAATTGTAAGTTGCCCCACAATTTTCTATACCCCCACCCCATGTATATACCCTGAGTAGTCCTTAAGACTGTGAATGCAGTGCATTTTCTCTCTGGAATTAGGTTATGTTAAATGGCACAGTTGACTATAAGATGAGGAGGTTATTCTACATGACCTGTCCTAGTCACATGAACACCATAAATGCACAGAATTTTCTCCAGCTGGTGAAAGAAGAAGAAAGCACAAGAAGAATTTGAAGTACAGTTGCTGACTTGAGGGCAGAAGAAGCCACATGGCAAGGAATACAGGTGGCCTCTTGGAGTTTAGGCCTGTCTCCAGCTGACAGGCAGCAAGATAACCAGCACCTCCATCCCACAACTGCAAGAATTAAATTCTGTCAAGAAGAATGAGCCTGAAAGTGTACTTTTCCCCAGAGCCTCCAGGCAAGCACTCAGCCTGGCTGACACTGATGTCAATCTTCTGATACTGCATCTAGCCATGCCAGACTTCTGACCTATAGAACTGTGAGCCAATGATGTTGTTTTAAGCCTCCAGGTTCATGTTAAATTCTTATGCAGCAAGAGAAAACTAATAAAGGGCAAAACTAGAAATGATCCCACTTACCATCTTTCCCATGAACCCACCTGGGAAATTTGCATTCTCATCTCTGCAAATGGAGAATGCTCAGCCACAGTAAGAGTTTCATTGTACTCTAAAGTCACTGTACTATGAGCTCTTGTTTCAAGAGACCAGCAGGCACACAGTGTCGATGCGATCTTGACAGGGGAAGTGGACCTGACCATCAGGAGGAGATAGAGTGTTACACAATATTGGTACAATATGGTCAGAGAAGAACGTACTTGGCACCATAGTGATCCACTTAACTACTGCTTGCTACTCTCTAATACAAACTGATTGTAAATGGACAAATGCTGTTATTCCAAATAACATCCAAATGTGAAGGATAAAGAAAGGATCCTAAAAGCAGCAAAAAAAAAGAAACAAATAACGTGTAATGGAGCTCATATCCATCTGGCATCAGACTTTTCAGTGGAAACCTCGCAGGCAGGAGAGAGTGGCATGACATATTTGAAGTGATGAAAGAAAAAAAGTTTACACTAGAATAGTATATTCAGTGAAAACATCTTCAAACATGAAAGAGAAATAAAGACTTTCCCAGGCAAACAAAAGCTGAGGAATTGCATCAACACCAGACCTGTTCTGTAACAAATGCTAGAGAGAGTACTTCAATAGGAAAGAAAAAAGAAAAAACAATGTTGATGAGCAATAAGAAATCATCTTCCGGTACAAAACTCACTGGTAGTAGTCAGTACACAAACAAAGAAACACAGAATATGATAACACTATAATATTATAAAATTGTGGTGTGGGCTGAGCGCAGTGGCTCACACCTGTAATCCCAGCACTTTGGGAGGCTGAGGCAGGCGGATCACAAGGTCAGGAGATCGAGATCCTGGCTAACACAGTGAAACCCCATTTCTACTAAAACTACAAAAAAACTAGCCGGGCGTGGTGGTGGGCGCCTGTAGTACCAGCTACTCGGGAGGCTGAGGGAGGAGAATGGCATTAACCCGGGAGGTAGAGCTTGCAGTGAGCCAAGATTGCGCCACTGCACTCTAGCCTGGGCAAAGAAGCGAGACTCCGTCTCAAAAAAAAAAAAAAAATCTGTGGTGTGTAAACTATTCTTAACTAGAAAGACTAAACAATGAACCAATCAAAATGATTACAACTTTGCAAGACATAGGCACTACAATAAGATACAAGTATAAATAACAAAAACTTAAAGGCAGGGACATGAAGTTAAGGAGTAGAGTCTTCATTAGTTTTATTTTTGCTTGTTTTGTTTGTTTATGCAAACAGTGTTCAGCTGTTATTAGCTTAAAATCATGGGTTATAAGATAACATTTGCAAGCCTCATGATAACCTCAAACCAAAAAGCCTACAATGAATACACAAAAAATAAAAAGAAACTAAATTGTATCAAAGTAGAACACCACTTTCACTAAAAAAAAAAAAAAGATAGGAAGAAAAGAAAGTGAAGAACCACAAAACAACCCAAAAACCAATTTAAAAAATGACAGGAACAGCTCTACTTATCAATTATAACACTGATTATAAATGGATTAAACTCTCCAATCAAAAGACACAGAGTGGCTGAATGGATTAAAAGAAAAAAAAAAGAACCAACGATCTGTTCCCTACCAGAAACACACTTCATCTATAAAGATACACATATATACTGAAAATAAAGGTATGGAAAAATGATATTCCATGCAAATTGAAACCAAAAAGGAGCAGGAGTAGCTACCTTATATCATACAAAATAAATTTCAAGACAAAAACTATAAAAAGAGATAAAGCAAGTCATACTATAATGATAAAGGGTTCAATTCAGCAAGAGGATGTGACAATTATAAATATATATGCACCCAACACTGCAACACCCAGATATATAAAGCAAATATTATTAGAGTTAAAGAGAGAGATAGGCCCTAAATGTAGCTGGAGACCAACATCCACTTTTAGCATTGGACAGATCGTCCAAACAGAAAATCAACAAAGAAACATTGCACTTAATCTCCACTATATACCAAATGGACCTAGTAGATATTTACAGAACATTTCATCCAATGGCTACAGAATACACATTCTTTTCCTCAGCACATGGATTATTCTCAGGGATAGACCACATATTAGTTCACAAAACAAGTCTTAAAACATTCAAAAAAATTGAAATAATATCAAGCATCTTCTCTGACCACAATGGAATGAAACTAAAAATCAATAACAAGAAGAATTTTGGAAAGTATACAAACAAACATGAAAATTAAACAATATGCTTCAGAATAACTGTGGGTCAATGAAAAAATTAAGAAGGAAATTGAAATTTTTCTTGAAACAAATAATAATGGAAACACAACATACCAAAACCTAGGGGATACAGCAAAAGCAGTACTGAGGGAAGTTTATAGCTATAAGTGCCTACATCGGAAAAGAGAAAAAACTTCAAATAAACAACCTAACTATTCATGCTAAAGAACTAGAAAAATGAGTAAACCAAATTCCAAATCAGAAGGAAAGAAATAATAAAGATCAGAGCAGAAATAAGATTGAAGTGAAAAAAAATTAATGAAACAAAAAGTTAGTTTTTGAAAAGTTAAACTAAATCAACAATGCTTTTGCCAGACTAAGAAAAAAGAGAGAAGACCCAAACTTAAAAATCAGAGATGAAAAAGAAGACATTTTCACTGATACTGCAGAAATTCAAATGATTATTAGTGGCTACTATGAGTAACTATATGCCAATAAATTGGAAAATCTAGAAGAAATGAAGACATTTCTAGACACATACAACCTACCACAATTAAACAAGAACAAAATTCAAAACGTAAACAGACAAATAACAAGTAATGAGATTGAAACCATAGTAATAAGTCTCCCTGTAAAGAAAAGCCTGGACTCAATGGCTTCACAGCTGAATTCTACCTAACATTTACAGAAGAACTAATACCAACTCTACTCAAATTATTTCAAAAAATAGAGGAGGAGTGAATATTTCCAAACTCATTCTATGAGGCCAGTATTAACCTGATATCAAAACCAGACTAAAACACATTGAGAGAGAAAGAGAGAGAGAGAGAGAGAGAGAGAATATTACAGGCCAATATCCTGATTAATATTGATGCAAACATTTTCGACAAAATATTAGCAAACCAAATTCAATAATAGATTAAAAAGATCCTTCAACATGGTCAAGTGGGATTTACCCCTGAAATGCAATGATGGTTCAACATACACAAATTAATCAATGTGATACACCATATCAATGGAATGAAAGACAAAAACCTATGATTTCAACTGATGCTGAAAAAGCATTTGATAAAATTCAACATTCCTTCATGTTAAAAAAAAAAAACTCAAAAAACGGGGAATAGAAGGAACATACCTCAACACAATAAAGAGCCATATATGACAGGTGCACAGCTAGTATCACACTGAATGGGGAAAATTTGAAAGCCCTCCCTCTAAGATCTGGAACACAACAGGGATGCCCACTGTCACCACTATTATTCAACATAGTACTGGAAGTCCTAGCTAGAGCAATAAGACAAGAGAGAGAAATAAAGGGCATCCAAATTGGAATGGAAGAAATCAAATTATCCTGGATTGCAGATGATATGATCTTATTTCTGTAGAAACCGAAAGACTCCACCAAAAAACTATTAGAACCGATAATCAAATTCAGTAAAGTTGCAGGATACCAAAGCAAAATGCAAAAATCAGTAGCATTTCTATATGCCAAGAGTGAACAATCTGAAAAGAAATCAAGAAAATAATCCTATTTACAATAACTATAAATATAATTAAACACCTAGAAACTGAATTCACCAAAGAAGTGAAAGTTCTCTATAATGAAAACTATAAAACACTGCTGAAAGAAATTGAAGAGGACACCAAAAAATGGAAAGATAATCCATGTTCATGGATTGGAAGAATCAATATTACTAAAATGTCCATACTACTAAAAGCAATCTACTGACTCAATGCAATCTGTATCAAAATACTAATTACATTCTTCACAGAAATAGAGAAAACAATCTTAAAATTTATATGGAACCAGTAAAGACCCAGAATAGCCACAGCTATCCTAAGCAAAAAGAGCAAAACTAGAGGAATCACATTGCCTGACTTCGAATTATACTACACAGCTATAGTAAACAAAACAGCATGATACTGACAGAAAAACAGACACATAGGCCAATGGAACAGAATAGAGAGCCAACCAACAAATCCACACACCTACAGTGAACTCATTTTCAACAAGGGTGCCAAGAACATACACTGGAGAAAAGACAGTCTCTTCGATAAACAGTGCTGGGAAAACTGGGAATCCATATATGGACAAACGAAACTAGACTCTTATCTCTCACCATATACAAAAATCAAATCAAAATGGATTAAAGACTCAACTCATTTCCCTTTTGCCCCAAGAATACTCTTGTCTCTAATCCTAATGTAACATCATATATATTAGGATTAGAGACAAGTTCTGTTTAGAAATAACTCCAAGAACAGTTTTTATATTTTATTTTCACATTAGAAAATGAAATATTTTCATATTAATTTTACATTGGAAAATTAATCAGATTTGCTTCAGCCTCAAAGAGTTTGTTTATGTAAAATTAAATGAGTTCTGGCAGTGAGCTGCACTTTTTTTTTCTAAATGGGAAACAGGTTAAATCTAAGACCTGAAATTAAGAAACTACTACAAGAAAATATTGAGCTAAGTCTCCAGGACATGGGTCTGGGCAAAAATTTGTTAAGTAATACCCCACAAACACAGGCAACCAAAGAAAAAATGAACAAATGGGATCACATGAAGTTAAAAGCTTCTGTGCAGCAAAGGGAACAATCAATAAACTAAAGAGACAATGCACAGAATGAAAGAAAATATTTGTAAACTACCCATCTGACAAGGGATTAATAACCAGAATATAAAAGGAGCTTAAACAACTCTACATGAAGAAATCTATTTGACTAAAAATGCACAAAATATTTAAGTAGACATTTCTCAAAATAAGATATACAAATGGCAAACAGGTACATGAAAAGGTGCTCACATCACTGATCATCAGAGAAATGCAAATCAAAACTACAATGAAATTTCATATCACCCCAGTTAAAATGAATTTTATCCAAAAGGCAAGCAATAAAAAATGCTGAGTAGGATGTGGAAAAAAGGAAACTGTCATACACTGTTCGTGGGAATGTAAATTAGTACAACTACTATGGAGAACAACTACTATGGAGTTTTTTGGAGGTTCCTCAAAAAACTAAAAATAAATATGATCCAGCAATCCCACTGCTGGGCATATACCCAAAAGAAAGAAAAGCAGTACACTGATGAGATATCTGCATGTTTGTTGCAGCACTTTTCACAATAGCCAAGATTTGGAAGCAACCCAAGTGTCCATCGATAAATGAATAAGGAAAATGTGGTGTATATATACACAAGGGAATACTATTCAGCCATAAAAAAGAATGGGATCCTGCTATTTGCAATAACATGGATGGACCTGGAGGTCATTATGTTAAGTGAAATAAGCCAGGCACAGAGAAACAAACTTCACCTGTTCTCACTTATTTGTGGGATCTAAAAATCAAAACAACTGAATTCATGGAGAGAGTAGAAGGATGGTTACCAGACGCTGGGAAGGGTAGTGCGGAGATAGGAGGGGATGATTAATAGGTACAAAAAAAAATTGAATAAGATCTAGTACTTGATAGCACAACAGGATAACTATAGTTAATAATAATTTAATTGTATATTTGTTTGAAACACAAAGGATAAATGCTTGAGGGCATGGATACCCCATTTTCCATGATGTGATTATTATGCTTTGCATGCCTGTGTCAATATATCTCATGGACCCTATACACATGTTCACTTATGTACCCACAAAAACTAAAATTAAAGAAGTACATATTTACTATGCACCTATTAAAAAAAAGAAATAACATTTAGCAAATGTGTCCCATATTAAGATAAATCCTATCAGTTGAATTTTCTTTTTAATGCATTCCCTTAAGACACTCAAATAGATTCTATGAGGACATATTGACTGAAATATATTTCATTGCCCCTTTCCAACTTTTGCAACTGGAAACTATTAAATGTATGTAGAAAGATACAAATGCTAACATACAGCCCTCTGATATAGTTGTGGCATCCACAAAACAATTTTTCCCAAAAATGCCTGCATAAGCGAGAATGAGTCACATCACAAGAGTGGACTTCCTGATGTACCAGAAATATATCTCTGACAAAATTTTTAAGCTCCAGGGACTGCCAGAGAAAAATCTTTTGGGTTATTAGTTGCTCATATTCTGACAGTAAAAAATGCTCCCTTGAGACTCACGAAAGTCAATGTGAACCTGACATCACAGGGTTGAATTTTTCCCTTAACAGACCAGTCCTCTATGAGAAGTTAGTCCTTACAATTCAGGGAGGGAATCATGAAGAGTTCTAATTACATATACCATGGTATTTTATCTACAAGAACACTTCTTTTAAAATTTTTTTGGTACTTTAAAAATTTTATAAATAATCACATAATTGTAGCTTTATGATACAGCTTTAAAAGAGTGTTGTGATTTCCAATTTTGCCCTTTTACAAGGAGTTGTTTTAATTTTTTAAATTATAATCCAATTATACAAATGTGAGATGCTATGTAAGTTTAAAACAAGGACAAAAATTCACCAACCCAAAGGTAAGTGTAATACTTAATTTTAGCTGATCTACCGTGGTGATATAAAATTAAATATTCTGTGTGCCTTACCTTAGTTCCTCCCTTCCAACATTACCAAGTGAAACATATTCAATCTGCACATCTGAAAAGTAAAAGTTTGTGTTGGATAGAGTTCAGTAGGAAAGGGGCACCTTGACTTACTTATAATGGAGAGCTGACAGGTCTTAGAGAAAGAACAGCAAATGCTTTGGAGGCCCAAGGTCCTGGCACATGTGGAGGGAGACAGGGTCGGAATTATATTCCCATGGAAAGGCCATAATGACTATCTCAGGGAATGGTAACTAGCACATGAGGAACAACCTGCTTTCTAAGAGTAACATAATACATGTTCTGGGAAGCAGGGTAAGTTAACAGTTATTTCTCCTGGTAAGAGAAATTTTCATCTTCTGCTGCTTCCCAAGGCAAGTGCACAGAATTGCACCTACACAAAATGTTCCCTTCACACCAAAAGGGGCAAGTGGGGTGCAAGAGGCATGCATCCCAGGCTCTACTGATAAAGCTCTGTACCCGGTGCACATTTACACTGAGATACCACATGGAATAGCAGAGGCCTGTTCTGTCCTCTCCTCCTTCAGATACTTTCCGCTTTCTCTTTCTTGTCTTCCCTTCCTCCCCTACCCCATTGTCTCCTTCAACCCTTTTCTTCCCTCTCCTCCATCTGAATGCTAAAACAAATATTATGTGAATATGCCAAGAAGATAAATTTGACTTCATTAATAAATAAAAGCAAAAGAATAATGAAAAATGAGACTTTTGAGGAAGGGATTAAGGAGGGGAAAGATGATGGGGTTTATTGAAATCCAGATCTGGAGATCTGGAATGGGATGGAGTATTTTGAATAAAATAACATCATAAGTGAAACAATGATTGAAAAAGAAATTTTCTGGCAAATATCTAAAAGCAAACTCAAGGAAGATGAGTCTAAATAGACTCATTTTGACTTCCCATAAATAAATGAATGATAAGAAAATATTTGTGAGGAAGGAAAGAATAATCAAATACACTGGACCAAATAGTCTTGAACCAGCCAAGATTATACGGCTTCAGCCAGAGAATACTATGCTCAGCAAAATCAATTGAGGATCAGTGGGATGTGTTATAACAAAAATCTAATGAAATTAATTTTGTAACTTTTAAAATATTCTGTTACTAAAATTTAGTTAATTTGGAACAACTCTCCATATGAGCACTTGAAAATATAGGGAACCACCCCAAAAAAAGCAGAATACTGGGTAGATGTGTCTCTTATACGTAGGAATAGAATATTTCTACTGAATGCGGCATGTGGATGATCTAGAAGGAATAACTAATTTCCTTCTGATTACAAAAACCCCAAACAACATTGACAGGTTAATAGGGTAAAGAAGAAATTCAGTACAAGACTTTTAATTATGATGTCTTTCTAAAACAAAAATTCAAATTGTAGAAGTGAAGTGAAAACATTAGGACTTGTAGGTAAAGATCTATCCCTATAAAATTTAAAAATTATAGAACTCTAATACTCAGTTTTGGCAGTCTATCTCTAACATTTTGTACATATTCTTTAATTTTATTCTTTTCCCTTATAATTGAGCACTCAATTAGCTGAGTATTGAACTGGAGCTAAAAAATTCATCATTTTTTGCACAGCCAATTATTTCAATCTTTGTTGCAATTTTTGAAGTTTATGAAACCTACACTTATTACTTTTTCTATTTATCCATTTTTTCCAAATGAATAAGGACGAATGCAATAAAATATTCAGATAATGAAGTACAAAACCGTGAACAATGACAAACAGACTGGTTGGCTGTCAGGCAGTGCCAACATAGCTCAAAATTCTTGTTTTTCAGATAATACGTGAGGTATAAGTTTAGAGTGCCACTAGAAAGAGCTTATGGATATCAATGCATAATAATGCAAAATAAGAAAATACTTTATGAAAAATAAAACTGTAAAATTTAGGGTCCATCTATAATTTTTAAAACCACCCTTCCAATGAAGCATATAGTCTGTCTCCTTAAAGGTGACAAGATCAGTTCACAGAACAACCTAGAAAATAAAGAGATTACAAACATATTCTTCTAAATATAGAAACTGTGGTTATTTTGAATTATTAAAGCTAAAAATACATCCATGTATATATATGGCCTTTCCGAAGTAACTGCAAAAAATGGGGAATATGCTCTGCTCATCTGGAGTTAATCTTAAACATGAAGAAATTGGTTCATGATAGGATCTTGTGGAGTAGTTACTGCACCATCATGGAGACTCTTACAGGAGATGAAAGGCGCAGAAGTAATTTTCAGATATCTAGAATAGGCTTTAAAAATACAAAGTTCCAATGATTCAATAAAAGACCTCCAAGAATTAGGAGTTCTCGGATTTTGAGTTCTACAAAGTTGGGCCAGAGAACCATGATCCACTTTTATATGAGAACCGTTTTATATGGCACAGCTACATAAACAAAATTTATTTCCCCTTCTATTTTTTGAACTATATCTTACCTAATCACCAAGCTCTCCTGAATTTATTGTGTGTAAGGCCTGCAGGTACATGAATTCTGTAACAAAATGCCTGGCTCCCTTCTCTTTACCTTCTCCCAGTTCTAAAGTGATTAAGACCATGAAATTGGCTGGAATATATAAAAATAACTTCACTTAAACTACCTAAATTTTTCTTGTATTGCTGCTACCATCCCTAATATATCTGGCTTTCTTGCCAATTTATCACAATCTGTAATAGTAATCCATGTGGCTAAAGGCAAAGTGGATGGAGAGAACTAGATTAGTACAAACATTATCTAAGATAGATAAAAGTATTAGGTAACAGATTGACTTTGGGTATGAGAGAAAGAAGAATGAATATAAAAGAATATAAGATAAAGTAATAGTATTGTTTAAGGGCATAATAAATACTTTTTACTCATCTACATTTTGTTATATAGAATTGGATGTCCTAACATCATATTAAGGTCAATGTACCCATTTAATTACAGACTTCTCCTCTAATCATTTCACAATTTTCTTAGTTTGTTTTGTGCTGCTCTAACAGACTATCTGAGACTGGATAATTTATAAGCAACAGAAACGTATTGGCTCACAGTTCTGAAGGCTGGGAAGTCCAAGAACTACAAGCTGACCTCCGGTGAGGACCTTCATGCTGTGTCATTCCATGGTACAAAGCAGAATGGCAAAGAGAGGGCAAGTGAAAGCAAAAAGGGGGCTACTCTTGTCCCTTTAAAAGCAACTCGCTCCCACCATAATGAATCCCTGAACAGATCAATAATGAGCTCTGAAACTGAAGCAGTAATAAATAGCCCACCAACCAAAGAAAGCCCTAGACAAGATGGATTCACAGCTGAATTCTACCAGATGTACAAGGAAGAGCTGGTACCACTCCTACTCAAACTATTCCAAAAAAACTGATGAGGAGGGACTCCTCCCAAACTCATTCTATAAGACCAGCATCATCCTGAAACCAAAACTTGGCAGAGACACAACAAATAAAGAAAACTTCAGACCAACATCCTTGATGAGTATCAACGGAAAAATTCTCAGCAAAATACTAGAAAACCAAATCCAGCGGCACATCAAAAAGCTAATCCACCATGATCAAGTAGGCTTTATCCCTGGGATACAAGCTTGGTTCAACATATGCAAATCAATAAATGTAATTCATCACATAAACAAAACTAAAGACAAAAAACACATGATTAACTCAATAGATGCAGAAAAGGCTTTCAATAAAATTCAACATCTCTTGGTGTTAAAAAGTCTCAACAAACTAGATATTGAAAAAACATATCACAAAATAATAAGGCACTTATGACAAACCCTCAGTCAACATCATACTGAACGGGCAAAAGCTGGAAGCATTACCCTTGAAAATCAGCACAAAATGATACCCTCTCTCACCATTCTTATTTAACACGGTATTAGAAATCCTGGCCAGAGAATAAGGCAAGAGAAATAAATAAAGGGCATCCAAATAGGAAAAGAGGAAGTCAAACTATCCCTGTTGCAGATGAGATTATTCTATATCTAGAAAATTCCACAGTCTCAGCCCAAAAGCTCCTTAAGGTGATAAAAAAAAAATTCAACAAATTTTCAGGATACAAAATTAATGTTTGAAAAACACTAGCATTCCTACACACCAACAACAGTCAAGCCAAAAGCCAACTCAGGAACACAAACCCATTCATAATTGCCACACATAAAATGCCTAGAATACACGTAACCAGGGAGGTGAAAGATCTCTACGATGAGAATTACAAAACACAAATAAATGGAAAAACATTCTGTGCTCATGTATAGGAAGAATCAATATTATTAAAATCACTATACTGCTCAAATCAATTTGCAGATTCAATGCTATTCCTATCCAGCTACCAATGACATTCTTCATAGAACTAGGAAAAAAGCATTTTAAAGTTTAAGTCCTAAGCAAACAGAAAAAAGCTGGAGACATCACACTACCTGACTTCAAATTATACTACAGGGCTACAGTAACCAAAACAGCATGGTACTGGTACAAAAACAGAAACATAGACCAATGGAACAGAATAAAGAGCCCAGAAATAAGGCCACAAAACTACAACCATCTGATCTTCAACAAAGCTGACAAAAAAAGCAGTGGAGAAAGGACTCTCCTATTCAAAAAATGGTGCTGGGATAACTGGCTAGCCATATGCAGAACACTGAAACTGGACCCTTTCCTTATGCCATAGACAAAAATCAACTCAAGGTAGATTAAAGACCTAAATTTAAAACCCAAAACTTTAAAAGTCCTGGAAAACAACCTAGGCAATATCATACTGGACACAGGACCTGGCAAAGATTTCATGACAAAGATGCCAAAAGCAATTGCAACAAAAGCAAAAATTGACAAGTTGAATCCAATTAAACTAAAGAGCTTCTGCACAGCAAAAGAAACAATCAACAGAGTAAACAGATACCCTCAGAATGGGAGAAAATGTTTGCAAATTATGCATCTAACAAAGATCTAATATCCAGCATCTATAAGGAGCTTAAACAAATTTACAAGAAATAAATGAACAACCCCATTAAAAAGTGGGGAAAAGACATGAACCGACACTTTTCAAAAGAAGACATACACGTGGCCAATAAGCATATGGAAAAAAGTTCAATATCACTGATCATTAGAGAAATGTAAATCAAAATCACAATTCGATACCACCTCACAGTAATCAGAAGGGCTACTATTAAAAAGTCAAAAAATAACAGATGCCCGGCAAGGTTGCAGAGAAAAGGAAATGCTTATACACTGCTGGTGGAAATGCAAGTTAGTTCAACCATTGTGGAAACCAGTGTAGTGATTCTTCAAAGAGCTAAAAATAGAACTACCACTCAATCCAGCAATCTCATTACTAGGTATAACCCAAAGGAATATATATCATTCTATCATGAAGACACATGCACACATATGTTCACTGTAGCACTATTCATAATAGCAAAGACATGGATTTGACGTAAATGTCCATCAATGGAAGACTGGATAAATAAAATATGGTACATAAACACTATGGAATACTATGCAGCCATAAAAAAGAATGACATCATGTCCTTTGCAGGAACATGGATGGAGCTGGAGGCCATTATCCTTAGCAAACTAACACAGGAACAGAAAACCAAATATCACATGTTCTGAATTATAAGTGGGAGTTAAATGATGACAACACATGAATACAAAGAAGGAAATGGAAACAACAGACATTGGGGTCTGCTTGAGGGAGGAGGATGGAAGAAGGCAGAAGACCAGAAAAAAATAACTACTGGGCCCTAGGCTTAGTACTTGCATGACAAAATAATCTGTACATCAAACCTCCATGACACAAGTTTACTTATATAACAAACCTGCACATGTACCCCTCAACTTAAAAAAAGTTTAAAAATTAATTAATTATTCAATTAATTATATCTAAGGAGTTTTATATTTTCTGCACAGTTCTTCTCTTCTGAGACCTCACCCAAAATCCCATTGATGGGATTCTAGGCTTTCTTGCCCGCACCTCCAAACTCTTTCAGCTTCTGCTCATTACCCAGTTCCAAAGCTGCTTCCACATTCTCAGGTATTTGTTAATAACAACACCTCACTCTTCTTATAATCCATTTTGTGCGGCTCTTACAGAACCTCCCAAGACTGGGCAATTTATAGTAAACAGAAATTTATTTTTCACAGTTCTGGAGGCTAGAAAGCCGAGGATTAGGGGCTGGCATCTGGAGAGGGCATTCTTGCTACATCATCCCATGATGGGAGGCAAAAGGGCAAAGAGAGAGCAAGACAGAGAGGAAGACAAAATTTATTGTTTTATGAGGAATCCAATCCCAGTATAACAAACCCACTCCCTTGATAATGGCATCAATCTATTCATGAGGGCAGAGCCTTCATGGCCTAGTCACTCCTCATTAGGCCCCACCTCCCAACACTGTTGTATGGCGGATTATGTTTCCAACACATGCTTTTTGGGGGACATATTCAAACCATAGCAATACCTTAACTAATCTATTTATGGTTCTTAAGAATCAACCAGTTTAGAAAGGAGGAACTCTCTGACATTTCTTTTCCCTTTTTCCTGGATATTCATTAGTTTTTCTAGGTCATTGTGAACTTGCACTTGGATTAATAGTATAATTTTCTAATTTGTCTTTCTGGTCCAGTCTAGCTGGAAGCAAATCTGAAAATAATATATCTCTAATAAGGACCCTCTCCCCTCACTTTCCTAGAGACTTTATAGATGATTTTGTTGAAGCCCAGGAAAGTTCAGTGAATTATCTAACAATACATAGCTAGTAAGTTGTACAATGAAAATTATAACCAAGGAAATCTCTTTGACAACACAATACTTTTTCTATCACATCCAACCTATATATTATTCTGCCTTCAGATTTATCTTCTTCAGATGCTAATTTCAGCTCCTCAAAGCTGTCAGTGGCTTTCCTTTGTCTGAAAATACAATCCAAATTTTCTGCCACTCAAAGCTCTCAATTACCTGGCCTTACCTTACCTACCATTATTTTCCACAATATCTCAACACAAATCTCCACACCCCTCACTCTAGGATCATTATACCCTGCATGCACCATGGTTGCTATGGGCTGTAAACATTTGCTTATGTTGCTCACTACATTTAAATTATAATTTCTTATCCTTACCCCTCAATCCATTCATTTCTCTAAAGCCAATTGAAGCTCATTTCATCTTCTGCAAAACAACATTCTTCTGCTTTCCCAATAGTAATTTATCTCTAATTGAATTCTTGTTTATATTATACATTTTGACACAATAGTTTCTACCCTGCTAAATAATTATTTAGGATAAATAAATTGTCTCTTCCACATTATTTTCAAAATACTTGAGACAGGTAGTAGCCATATCTTGAATTTTGTTACTATTCCTTTTAGCAAACAACGCAGTGTTAACCATATGTTAATCATTCTTTGAATACCTGTTAAATGAATGAACCTCATTTTTAATGGTCTTACTAAAGAGAAATCCATTTTCACAGCAAACCTCAGTTTCTTGGCCTTTATTTAGGACATTAGTGCCCTCCTCTCTACCACCATCTAAAACAGCAAATTTGCATTTCTAAAAGAGAAAACTATTTTTTTCATTTAAAAATGTTAAAGCAAATTCCCATGTCAACTAAGTTTTTTTTCCCCCAATCCAAAACAAACTAATATCTCAAACCACCGTTTAAACCCAGAAAGCTCTGAATCCTAGAATTCGGACTTGGCCCCCTCAAGAACATGCTTGCTAACACAGAGAAACACCCTTGTAAAAAACATTTACGTAATTTAAATTTGGGGAATTGGTTACTACTTTGCCCAGTTTAATTTAATTTTAGAATTTGTAGACAATCATAATATACAGGTTCATTATTTGAGGTTGACTAAAGTGTCTGTAGTTTTCTATTAAAATGTGAGTGTCAAGGGTTTATTTAACACTGCAGCCACCAGGAGTGGTGGCTCACGTGGTGGCTGTAATCCCAGCACTTTGCTCACATGGTGGCTGTAATCCCAGCACTTTGGGAGGCCGAGGTGGGCAGATTACCTGAGTTCGGGAGTTCAAGACCAGCCTGGCCAACATGGTGAAAACCCATCTCTACTAAAAATACAAAAAATTAGCTGGGCCTGGTGGCAGGCGCCTGTAATCACAGCTACTCGGGAGGCTGAGGCAGGAGAATTGCCTGAACTCAGGAGGTGGAGGTTGCAGTGAGCCAAGATCATGCCATTGCACTTCTGCCTGGGTGACAAGAGTGAAACTCTGTCTCAAAAAAAAACAAAAACAAAAAAACACTGCATTATAACTTTGTTTTGATTTGAAAAGGATATTCAATTGATATGGTTTCACTTTGCTTGCTGTTTCTATACTTATAATCTACCACAATTCCATCAACATTTTTAGAGAGTATCATAGCTCATTATGCCTAAATGGAATATAAGCGATCAAATAGTTCCAAACATGATTTTACAGATAAGATAATACAGATAAAATGAGTCCATCTCTCTCAAAAAACTCACAGTTAGAGATGAGTTATATAGGACAATGCACTCAAATATACTGTCTTAACATCATTTTTCTCACTACCTTCTGAATGGTTAAATAAGACCAAGTTATTAACATATTTGTGAGATACCTTCTACCTTTTTAATCACTTCGGGATCCTGCCTCAAGGTATCTCAAAAGCTTACAGTGCTGCCAGGAATTCTAAATATTGTCTGAGAATGAAATATTTTTTAAAAAAAGCCACAGAAAATGCATAAAACAGATCAAAGACAGAAAGTCAGTGAGCAGAAATTCCCTGGGAATCTGAATAACCCCACCCACATAATCAAAGAAACATACGTGAAAACATTATTTTTTCCATTTTTTTCTTTTTACATGTCTAAGATCCTCACCTTATTAGTTAGCTAGACTCATATGCTCTTACCCACATTTGCACCCATTTCTTCTTCATTTCTACTACTTTAAATTGCTTTTTCCTGTTTTGTCCAAAGTGAAATCTTTTTTTTTTTTTTTTGAGATGGAATCTCACTCTGTTGCCCAGGCTGCAGTGCAGTGGCACAATCTCGGCTCACTGCAACCTCCACCTCCCGGATTCAAGCAATTCTCCTGCCTCAGCCTCCCGAATAGCTGGGACTACAGGCATGTGCCACCATGTCCAGCTAATTTTTTGTATTTTTAGTAGAGAAGGGGTTTCACCGTGTTAGCCAGGATGGTCTCGATCTCCTGACCTCGTGATCCACCCGCCTCGGCCTCCCAAAATGCTGGGATTACAGGCTTGAGCCACCGCGCCTGGCCTATCCAAAGTAAATTCTAAATCCACCACATATCCCCTGGGTTGCTCTCAGATTCAAATGTGCTAAAACTAATAGATAAGAAACTGTTTAGAAAAGTCTAAAGCTCATTAGAACTGTAAGATATTGTCATTATTATTCTTCTCTCAAACAGTAATCACCTGTTGTAACCGGGAAAAAAACTTTCTGTGTGATACAAACAAGAGATTATTCTAGGAATATAGGGAATTGTGGAAGAAAGAACTATAGTAGAATATCCACTCAACTGCAGCAAAGATAGCAGGCAGATGAATTGGAAGAAACCTCAGGTCAGAAAAAAATGTTGCAATTCAAGTCAGTAAGTTGGGGCTGCTCAGCAGGCTGTCTGGCTTGATGGCTACCATCCAAGGGCCAGCCCTTCTTGTTTTTCTTTTTCTCAGTTCCATCTGAACTGCCCTACCTCCCCCTGGCTACTCCAGAAGCATTCTCTTTTGGGCTCCAGTTTCTTCAGAACTAAAAATCTCTCTTCTCCCAGTAACCTCTTCCCTCCAACCTACATTTCTGTGTTTATCTTGGATAAATAGATCTCTCCACTCCGTGCCATTTGATCTCCCCCATGGGAAGAAGGCAGCTCTTGTTTACCTACTGCCTACTGCAATGAGTGAATAGCATTAAAAAAAAAAATCTTCTTGTGGTTATATGAAAGACATCACTCATCAACATAGCAAAAAGATTCATCATCTATGTGCAAATGTATATATGTTTGTAAGAGTGTGGTATACAAAGCACAAGTTATACAGAATAAACTAGAATAAATCATCATCTGTTTCAAAATATTTGCCAGATTAAAGTCATAGATTAATGTTTATAGGAGGAAATATAACCTGCTTGATAGTTCCCAGTGTCTGAAGCCAACTCTTTAGTGGGATTCGTGCCCCGGAGCAGTGTTCTTGACAGAAGGTATTTATCCATTCTATAGGAGTCTGTGTTAAAGCTACTATTCAATGATGATTTCCTGTGGTTATTCTCATCCATTCTAAGAAAGAAGATGATGAAATAAGCACTTTGTGTGCAGATGTAAAATGTAAATTTATAGGCTTTAAAGATTTGAATTGACAAAATTGTAAGAGTGGATGTCACAAAGCTATAAAAAAGTTCAAATCTGTTCTTATTTAGAGCTACTAGACACTGAGCAAAGAAAGAAAAATTAATACAGCATTTAGATTTTTTAAAGGCAAACATAGCCAGAAATCCCTAAACCCTTGTAACTAAAGAATTGAGCTTAATTTGGATGCAAAAATAAAAAATGAATATTAGAATCAGATATTTGTGACATCTCATTTATTTCATAATTTTAATAATTGAACATACTGCAGTGATCCTGGAGAATTTCCCCAAATATGAATAATTTGAATATTACAGGCTTATTTTATAAAAGAAATATAATCCACTGAGACTCAACATTTTCTTTGTATTGAACATCGAATTGCAGTATTTGTGGTTATCTCAATTTTGAACTCTATGTCATTCACTGTGACTTTATAAATTTGTTTTTCCAGATAAGGCCTAGAGATGCTGATTATTTCTTGCTAGCTCTGTGAGAGCAATTTCAACAACTATCAAGAGGTAGCAGTGACTGCTAATAACTCAGGCAATCGAATCAAGAAAAATTATCTCCACACAGAGAGAATCAAGATACCAATTATAACATATGATCCAGACAACATAACTGCCATTAAAAAAGAAAGACCATTAAAATAATGGCAACAAATTTCCCTATTCACTATATGTGCACAGTATAAATAGAAATTATATGAAATAAGATAGAAAATATGTGCTACCTGCCTTTTTCCTCTAACCTCAATTGTTGTCTTTGAACTGCCTAAGTTAAATTTGGATTCTTCCCTTTTGGTCTTAAGGATAAATACTTGGCTTTGTCCCATATGCCGAGCATAGGAAACTGCTTTTATTCTGTAGCTGAAATAAATGCCATTTTGTAACTCTAATAATAATTAAAATAATTATCTGCTACTCCACAAAACCTAAAGTCCAACTATGTTCCTGTAGTTTATTTCCAAACTTTTCCATTTCAGTTGTGAAATTGAAAATTATTGCTTATCAGCATATTTTCAAGAAGATATACAAAATTATCAAAATTCTCTTAACATCACAGACATTTTAAAAATTATCTTTTTAAACTTTAAATTCCCAGCACATAAATAGAATTTTTCCCATAATTACATAATTCCTTCATTCAACAAATTATCATGCTCAGCAATAACATTCTAGGCCACTAATTTAGAATCCAAGAATTTGAGGAAGTCCAAAATCCATCTTAAAACACGCAGGAATATTCAGATCCCAGGTGAGAAATGTTGCATTGGATAAAGCTCTTACTTTATATGATTACTTGAGGACAACGTGGTCACAGATATATTCAGAGCAATGAATAGTGCACCTGACTTCTGTGACAGTTATGACAGAAAGTCTGTTATGGCATGATCTGACTATATCTTGATCATAAGGATAATCAAGAACATGCTTTCAACTTTTTAAATCATCATCTAAATACAATCACAGAATTAAATATATAGAGCGAGATGCATATAAAGAAATAGAGAACTTGAGAATCTGACAATATGGGAACAGTCTATCAGGAGTCCCATGACCTCAAATTAAGAATCTTGTACCAATTAAAATTTTTGTTTCCCTTTCGTTAACATTCTAGCTTCTACCTCACACAAACTGCCTCTAGTTGTCATATCCTGCCCGGTTTGTTCCTCCCACCTCCTGCTCTGTCTTTAGTCCAGGAATTAATTTTTAAGCAACTGACTAAATATTGAATATTTTTTATATCCTCCATGTCTTTACTTAACTTTTTGAATATATGAAATCATTTATAACAGTTTTAATTCTAACATTTGTGTCAGTTTCGATTTATTTTTCTGTTTATGATAGATCATGTTTTCTTGCCTCTTTGCATGACTGGTAATCTTTGATTGGATGCCACACATTGTGAATATTTCCTTGCTGGGCGCTGGGTATTTTTGTATTTCCATAAATATTCCTGAGCTTCATCTGGGACGCAGTTACATTACTTGGAAATAGGTTGATCTTTTCAGATCTTGGTTTTAAGATTTGTTAGGTAGTGGGAGGCAGAGGTTGCAGTGAGCCGAGATTGAGTGAGACTCTGTCTCAAAAAAAAAAAACAAGAGCAGTGTCTAGTCAAGGGACAAAATACCCAATTACTGAGGCACTTTTGAGTACTCAGAGTACACTTTTGAGGACTCTGTTCAGCACCATGTGAATCACAAGGTTTTCTATTTTGACTAGTTGGAACGGGGACTATATTCTGCTTCTGAGTGCATGGCACTGCCTTTAATCCTTTTAAGGGTTTTGTTTGGTTTTGTTTTTTCCTGGCCTTGGGTATCATATATATGCACTGATCAGCCTCAGCTAGAATATGCAAGAGAGACCCTCTTTAAATCTGAGGGGCTCTCTCTCTCTCTCTCTGTCTCTCAGATCTATCTCCTCAACTCAGGGACCCCACCAGGCTCTGCCTGGGTTTCTGGAAATTCCCTCAAACAGAAAGCTGGGATCATCACAGGGCTCATCTCATTTGTTTCCCATCTCTCAGGGATCACTGTTCTTCATTGCCTGATGTGCCTTGTCTCACAAACCATGGTTTCGTGTATTGTATTTAATATTCTTAATTGTTTCGTAAGGGAGGGTAAATCTAGCCCCTGTCATTCCATCTTGGCTGAAAGTGAAAATCTTCTATCTAAACATTGAATTGAATTGCATTGAAATGGATTAAAGACTAAAAAAGATAGATAACACAAATAAAATTCTAAACAAATAGTATTCACACAGTGAATCAGCTAGAGTACAGGCTAGGATACTATAAGAAAAGGGTATAAAAAGTGAAGTGCTCCAAGAGGTCATTTGGGGATCATTCAGGGATCTGTTTCCTTCCATTCTGTGGCTGCCATCTGCTTAGCTGTTATCTTTATGCAGTCAGACACATTTCCAGCTAAAACTTGGAGTTTCTATTATTTTGTTGTTGTTGCTGCTGCTGTTGCTGTTGTTGTTGTTGCTGTTGTTGTTGTTGTTGTTGTTGCTGTTGTTTTGAGATAGGGTCTCGCTCTGTCACCCAGGCTGAAGTGCAATGGCTCAATCTCTGCTCACTGCAACTTCCGCCTCCTGGCTTCAAGCAATTTTCATGCCTCAGCCTCCCAAGTAGCTGGAACTACAGGCGTGAGCCACCGCGCCTGGCCTGGGGTTTCTATTATTAAAACAAATACAGGAAATTTTGATACTGTGTACAATAAAGAATTTGGGGCTGGGCGCCGTGGCTCATGACTATAACCCCAGCACTTTGGGAGGCCGAGGCAGGCAGATCACTTAAGGTCAGGAGTTTGAGACCAGCCTGGCCAACATAGCAAAATCCTGTCTCTACTGAAAACACAAAAATTAGCCAGGTGTTGTGGCGGGCACCTGTAATCCCAGCTGCTCGGGTGGCTGAAGCAGGAGAATTGCTTGAATCCAGGAGGTGGAGGTTACAGTGAGCTGGGATCAGTCCACTATACTCCAGCCTGGGCAACAGACAAAGCGAGACTTCATCTCAAAAAAAAAAAAAAAAAAAAAAAAAATGGAGAAGAAGAAGAATTTGGGCCTCAAACACTAAGAAACTGAATTAAAATATCTTCTGTTATCTACATACTTTATCTTTTCCAAAAAATAGCTGAATTTGAGCTGAGAGAGGAGTAATAAAAACAATCCCTCAGGATTATGATAAATACATATAGTACTCAAAGATTTTCTGCTAATCTGTATGTATTCCTCACCTCAGTCTAACAGTAAGCTACTTGGTGATTCACCTAAAATTCTGTAAACAATCATTTTGAAATTGAAAGTCAATGCTTTAGGATAAATTTTCTATCTCTTAATCTGTTGTGATAAAAAGAAAAGTGAATGTTTAGGGATTTGCAAGCTTCTGTTATTTTTCTATGCACTACTGTACATTATCCATTTGCTGAATTTTGTAGGCTTGGTAACCTAGCAATTAGCTTCACCCAGTTTCACCAGGTCCTGGGCAAAATGAATCAGACGACAAAACTCATGCAAGCTGATCTGGGGCCCAGGTGCTCCCACTCAATTTGATGAATTATATAAATATTTCAAATGCTAGGAAGACTTACATATGTAAGATCATCAGTCTACATAAGAAAATAATTTAAAAGATACCCCGTGAGTGTGTGGAAAGGGGGGTACTATGGACAGTGCCTAAGCCAGACAGAATTTGTGTTGTGGGCTTCCCATTATACATTGGGGGAGAACTCCCTTTGCAATACTGCAGAAAATAGAAGATTTGGCATCTGTCTTTCTCTGCCAAATATATCTTTTCAGTACCCAAGGAGCCTCTTGGTTCCATAACACCGTAGATTCAAGAAACAGTTGGTCCTTCTTATTTCATAGAAAGCCTCCAGAGGCTTGGATCCTCTCTTTAATATCTTGAGAGGATTGGTTAATTCATAGCAACATACTGCCATATTTTAACCTTCTAATAATAAAAGAAACCAGGGAAGTGGTTCTTTTATAAAAAACTCATACAGCTTAGAACAAAAAGATACATTTGTCTTTTTTATTCTCCTTCAAATGTACGTAGTCAGAATATAACCATGGCAAAATTCCTAATATACACCTTTTAAGAAACTCACATTGATTCCGAATGTTAAATGGGGATGCAGGTTTTAAAAGTTTTCGGGTCCAGGATCAATCTGAATCTCAGTCAAAAGCACACAACTGTTAGATATTTTTCCCAGAGTGTTTTTGTGTTTCATAAAACAAGGAGAAGGCACAACACTTGAAAGGGAGTGACTGTTTCTCTGTAGTGCAGAATGGATAAGTGGAGAGGGGATGTTAACTCTGGGGCTATTAGGAATTTGACTTCTCACAGGGAAGAGTGCTAAGAAAACGAAAGGTGAATACAAATCCAGCGACCTCAATCACTGGAATAACATTTTATACTTAGTTTGATACACTTCAGGTCTGGGGGGTGGGGAACAGGAGTGGATTTTGAAAATTTTGGCTGAGAACATATTTTTGTTTTGCAGATAGTTTTAAGCTTTTCAGAGCTGAGATCTAGAATGATTAATAAAGAACAGCCACCACATTGATTTAGAGAACTTTAGCAACAACATGGACAGATTCCCTTGACACAGGCTGAATAAATCCATTTCTTACTGAATTCAGGCCATTATTATTAGCTAAATACTGTCAAGATATGATGCCTTATGTCCTGTGAGAAAGAGCTTAGACCATTGCATGAGAGAAAACTGTGTGTCAGCTATATGTTTGCAATAGACTTTTGGAGTCTCTATATTACAAACCACTAAGAGCCTCCACTCCTCCGATTTTACATGCTTTTTACATAGAACCAGAATTACGTTTACCTATTAGCACAGGAAGGCAAAAGGGCATAATGATCTAAGCCTAGCTTTCAAGTCAGTTATCCTGGCTCCAGCATTTACAAACCATATGCCTCTGTCACCTCTCAGATCCTCCATCTCCACATCTATAAAGCAGAGGTGATGGTGGTCATTCTATAAGTAAATAAATATTAATTGAGCACCCGTCTGTGTCAGACCATAGAGATATGACAGGCCACAAAACAGATATGCCTCCTACTGTTAGAACCTTATAATTTAGCCAATTATACTCATCGAATTGTATTTCTCCAAGAGTCTTCTCAAATAACACAAGAGTCTGAAATTCTTAATAGAGTGCCTGGCACATAATAATTGCTGAAAAGGATGCTACTTTAATGCTGTGTCTTACTGTTTGATTTTTGTTTGCTGTTGATGTGAGCATCGCCATTAACATTTTCTTCCCATTGCTAAAAAAAGTTAGCTACCTATACATTGTGGTTTCAGAAGTCTCAAGAAGGCCCAGATACAAATAAAATACTGACTCCTACCTAATTAATGATATTAGATCTTAACAAAGTGCCCAGATCCAAGATTACCTGTGAGTTTGAACAATAACTTGTCCTGGTAAATAAGTGAGCTATATACATGACAGAAGGTAAATTGAACATAGAGTTTGGAGGAACCTGAAATTAATACAAAAGTCAAATGCTATTGGAGCTAGGAAATGTGTGTTAAGACATGAATAAAGTTTTATGTTATGATTTGAATTTGAAACTGCCAAAATTATTTCAAGCTTATTCTGAATAGGAATAGCTATGACTAGGAGATAGGAGATAAGGTTGCTTCCAAATATGGGAAATCTTACTGAAGTCTTTATAAGTATTCAAAATAAAGACCTTGGCTTTGTGGTGGGGTAAAGATTAAAAGACACCAAGTTCGTTTAAGTTGATTCTGTGTGTGTATTTTAACCATAAGTGCAAATAATTATAGACTATCACTACCTCCTGCTGTGGTCATATTCTAAGACTTTCCTCAGTTCTCCAAAATGGAGTTCATAAAATTACAACATAAACAGCAAGTTTTATATTTAAGAGGTTACATTTCCACTGAGTAAAATGGCAATAGGTGTGCCCTTTTTTTTTTTTTTAACAATAAAGTGGGTCTACATTGCTTATTCTCTCTTACTTGCAACCCACTCTTATTATTTATTTTTTTATTACAAAAATTATATTTTTAGAGACAAGGTCTCACTCTATCATCAAGCAGGAGTGCAGTGGCACGATCCTAGCTTACTACATCTTTGAACTCCTGGGTTCAAGCCAACCTCCTGCCTCAGCCTCCCAAGTAGTTGGGACTACAGGCATGCGTCACCATGACCAGCTAACTTTTTAATTGTTTGTAGATACGGAATCTTGTTATGTTGTAATTGTTTGTAGATACAGAATCTTGTTATGTTGCCCAGGCTTGTCTCGAACTCCTGGGCTCAAGCAATCCTCCCGCCTCAACTTCCCAAAGTTCTGGGATCACAGGCGTGAGCCACCACAGCTGGCTAGGTGTGTACTTTTCTCTTCACACTGACTGGCAGGAAAACACTACAGAGAAATCATCAGCATTCTCAGAGTCAGGTTTAAGCTTTTATTTGAGAAATTGATTTCAAATATGATTAGTTAGTCAACCAAAGCTTTTGTGTTCCATTTACTACATCAAGATTCCAGCTTCCCTATAAACACACAGAAGGGATTTCTAGGAGAGAAATTGAACATAGAAGTATTTTCCCCCAGGGAATTGCTGTGTCTCCCTTTAATTAAAGCTGATTCTTTTTTACAGGAAGAATCATACTTCTGATTTTGTATTTTTCTGCATCAAAGAAGGGACTTAAAATATTTGGATTCCTCAGAGGACGCATAAGCAGAGAAGTAAACATAGAGAAAGTTTTACACCTCAGCCCCTGGGAGGAATTTAATAATGGCTGTGAATGAGTAGGTTTCAAGGCTGAAACGGCCCAGGAATTATATTACTTGTAAGCAAGCTACCTGGTTAATGTTTGAGAAAGGTACCGTTTGTTATTATTTGTTGATTTATCTTAATGCAATGGAATTAAGACTTGTCCAGTATTCAGATATTTCAAAGAAGAACAAAATATTTTTAACAGATTTTTACAAAAATTATTTAGCTCTAACATACCCGAAGGAAGTACATTCATAAAGAACAGTGATTGGCCACATGTTGATTCTCCATGGTGGGATTCCTGCCTTCCAGGGAGAATTGCCTCTGAAATTTAGGAGAGAGGAGATGAAGATTGAGCTTTGAAATGCACTTCAAAACCTTAGAGATTAGTGAAATGGGAGGAATATGCCACACTCTCAATATGCCCATGAAATCAGCCCAGAGACTTCTACTCTATTAGCAATACAGTATAATTAACTATTAATCACCATACTCTACATTAGGTCTCCAGAAGTGATTCATCTTATAACTGCAGGATACTGTCCTTTGACCAACGTATGGTTTCATATGGTAAGAAATGTGCCATATGATCCAGCAATCCAATTTCAGGGTATGTATCCAAAGGAAATAAAATCAATATCTCAAAAAGATATGTATACTCCCAGGTTAACTGCAGCATTATTCACAATAGCCAAGATATTGGCTATTCCCTATCAGTTGACAGATGAATGAATAAAGAAAATGGGTGTCTGTGTGTATAAATTGTGTGTGTGTGTGTGTGTGCGTGTGTGTGTCTAAATACATGCATTGGTATATTATTCAGCCTTAAAAAGGTCAGAGATCCTGCCATTTGCAATGTGGATGAATCTGGAAGACACTTTACTAAGTGAAGCAAGATAAATACTGCCTGATGTCTCTTACATGTGGGATCTTTTAGAAGAAGTCAAACTCATAGGAAGAGAGAGTAGAATGGTGGTTACCAGCTGTTGGGGGATAGGCAGAAAATGGAGATGTTGGTTGAAGGGCAGCATCCTGCAGTTAGAAGATGAATCAGTTCTGGAGTAGAGTATGGTGATTAATAGTTAATTATACTGCATTGCTAACAGAGTAGATCTCAAGTCTTCTCAACACACACACACACACACACACACAGAGTAACTATGTGAGGTAATGGATCTGTTAATTAGATTGTAGTAATCATTTCACAATGTACACATACATCAAAACATCACATTGTGTACCCTGAATATATATAATTTTCACTTGTCAATCATACCTACATAAAGCTAGAAAAAGATTACTAATACTCTCCAAGAATTGAGGTACAGATTCCCTGAGAGAAATGTGTCAATTCTTAGTCTTTAACACTGAGATACTAAATCATTATATTATGTAATTCTCCGTAAGCACATTACGATAAGGAGGAGTGCATAAAACCATGAGGACCTTAGGTACCCATCCATGCCCAGAGTCCTAGAAAGAGGCTGGATTGAGGAAAATATGCCTGCCTCCAAACAGGGCCGGTCTAGCACAGTGGGATCAAGAGAGAAAGTGCCAATACGGTGATGGAAGGCATGGGCTCTGGGGTTAGACCCACAGTATCCTCTACTGACTCCTCTCATGACTGTTGATAAACTGCCTAATTCCTGTAAACCTCAATTTCCTTATCTCCACAATGGACACATTAAACCTACTTCACATAGCCTGATTGAAAGAAATGACCTCTCCTAAAGCAGTGAGCCCACAGACAGGTACATTATAAGCTGTTAATTAAAGTTGTGATCGTTCTTGTTTTTTTTAGGGGGAAAAAAAGTGGCAGCACTCACCAGAGATGTATTACCTAGCTCTAGCAAAAGGAGATGCTCCTCTTCAGTATCCCTGAGGCCCCTCTGGTCCTCTCTCCAGGGTCATCAGAAGACTGACCTTCAGTAAGGCAATGCCTGCGCTCCAGGCTCAGGGCAAGAAGCATGGCTGAGCAGGCTCTTAAATTCTCTGGTCCTCTTTGTCCCTGTGAGAAGCCCATCCAAGCCTATCATCTAGAAAGTAAATCTATTAGATATCACACAAGCAAACAAAGTTTTGAACTCTTTTTTTCAATTTACAAAATGTGTTTAGCGCTTATTTGATGGCATAGCTGAACGACACTTCAAATTGGCCCAGTAATTGAGAACTATGAATGTACCATATAATTTTCTTACAGATTTAAATGTTTCTTTTCTCTTCTCCTACATGAAAAGAAAATGAGTGCAAAAAAATTACTGAAATGGGCAAAACTTAAGCATCCAACATTCAAAAATTTACAGTAGTGCAGCAATAATCGTACAATATATACTCTAGTCATATTAAATATAATTTCCAAAATAAAGATAATTTTGTATCAATATCGACAGTGAGAATTTTACATTTTCTACATATGGTATATTAAAAATGTTAGCTGTGAAGGTAAATTTAAAACTACAGATTTTCATGCTGTTTGACTTCATGTATCCAAGATGAAAAATCAAAACAATTGACTGTAAAGCATTCCTTTGTTCTAACATTTGTTTTTCACATTTTCCCTGTCTATGCATTTAACGGTATTTTTTCTCCTAAATAATGTCATTAACTTGCAAAAACAGTATCAAAAAAATTATTGAAAGTTCTCTCCCAAATACTGTGTTGTAAGGATCCCAGAAACTTCCTCCAACTTTTGAGTCTATAAAATAGTTAAGAAAATGGTATGTGGAAAAGAAATTCAAAGTGACCAGAACAGAATTTAAGATTTTGAAAGAACTTCAGCTTATTTAAGTATAAAATGCAAACCAAGTCTGTATATATTAAAATGGCAAAAACAAAAAGGTTTTTCTCCCTGAAATTGCAGAATTGTCTATTGCTGTTAAAATCAAACTTTTTTTTACTGTACCGATGGAACTAGTATCAAGAGTGCAGTGATATGTTGTAGATAACAAAATATGATCAGATTTTAAATAATTGATTTATAAAGTTAAAGAGAACTATTTTTAATTAAAATAGAGATTTGACAAACATTTCTGAGACTAAAATAATACCAAATCTTTGAGTGGTTAGAAAATTGATACAAGTGGCTGGGCACAGTGGCTCACACCTATAATCCCAACACTCTGGGAGGCTGAGGCAGGTGGATCACCTGAGCTCAGGAGTTCAAGACCAGCCTGGGCAACATGGTGAAACCCTATCTCTAATTTAAAAAAAAAAGAAATAAAATTGATATAATAAAATATTGAATAAAGATGATAATTCCTGAACTACCCTGATGCAATGAAGATTCAACTATATAAAGTAAGATACAAGATATTTTAAAAGCTGTTTATAAAAGAGAGGTAAGAATCTGAACTGCTTAAAGTTCCAGATCTGTTGTCTTGATGTCACCTAACACCTAAGACACTAACATATGCATGGGATTTCAATATATTTTTGTTGTAACAAATCAAATTTCTGATTGATAAAAACCATTAATTGAGTTATCCGAGAGTTTGTTCAAGCACAGTCCTAATGAGGCATGGGATAAATTAAATATTGTAAGTTGAGTTCAGGCAACATCAGAACTTCCATATTATGTCTGGAGAAGAGAGCTGATTAGATGCCTACAGACTTTTTTTATTATCTTTTTTTTTTTTTTTTGAGATGGGGTCTCACGCTGTTGCCCAGGCTAGAGTGCAGTGGTGCGATCACAGCACACTGCAATCTTCACCTCCCAGGTTCAAACAATTGTCCTGCCTCAGCCTCCCAAATAGCTGGGATTATAGACATCCACCACCACGCCTGGCTAACTTTTTGTATTTTTAGAAGAGATGGGTTTTCACCATGTTGGCCAGGCTGGTCTCAAACTCCTGGCCTCAGGTAATCCACCCGCTTCAGCCTCCCAAAGTGCTGGGATTACAGGTGTGAGCCACCGTGCCCGGCCTCTTCATTTTTCTATTCACTTTCTAAAAAAAATTATCTAATTCATCCATTGTTCTGGAAAATATCCTCAGTTCTGGATATTTAACAGTGTGTAACAGGTTAGTTGTTGCCCTGAAGGGTCTTTTAAGGTCAAAACTTCACCTAGGCTCTAACCACCCAGGCAGACGGATGTGACTTAAGGGAGCAGAGGTGTTAAAATTTCTAACATCTTAACTGTAATATAATTTCTTTACTTAAAACCCTTAAAGATTTTCCTCTTGCTTTTAAGATAAAGTACAAACTTCTTACCATTGCTCACAAACTCTTCCTTGACTAGCCCTCCACATACATCTCTGATACTCTTTGAAAAAGCTTGACACTTGGCTGCTCTTCAGAAGCTTCTGTCCATGCTGATCCCATTGTCTAGAATGCCTTTCCTTTCCCTGTATTGCCCACCAGATTAAACTAAGTTGAATCAGTATTTCAATTCTTGTTTACAGCATCTCTTCCCTCTGCAAGAATGCCTGTGTGCACACATACACACACACACACACACACATATACAAACCACACCCAAGGCTAACTCAGTTGCCTCTTTTTAGTGCTGAATCTTTGTACTCCTATAATCTTTGGAGTATCTCCATAGTACTTATCACTTAGGTTTGTCAACACCTGATTGTTTCACCTTCACTGAGTTGCAAGAGAAAATCTGTCTTATTGAATGTTGTATAAAAAGTGCTTGCCATTTCATTTGACCATTAATTGATTCTCAGTAAAACATCCTTTTATTATAATAGATGACAAAAAAAAAAAACAAAGAAATCACTATGAAGATAAAGAAGTCCCAGGACTTCAAATAAGACCTTTATGTTTCAGACTATATATATTCCAGTTAGACTTTTCACTATCCTTGTTGCTTTTTCATTTTTGAGTTAAATATTTCTATAAGCCATATTTTTATGTTTCCACATAATTTTACTCAAATTTAGGAGGATGCAAGATATTTGCCCAAAAATTATAGATTAAGAAAAGTAGAGAGATATGATGCTCAGTTAATCCGAAATGCAGTTCTCTTCTCTCCTCAATGATCAGGGAGGGCTCTAAGTGAACTATGCAGTCTGTTAGTCACTCTGAAAACACAAACAGTTTCTACTAACATGATTAAGTTGCTTCCTTGCATAGGCCTGAATAAAAAATGACAAGTCAGAAAGCCTACAGACATGGCATGGTAAAAAATATAAATAAATAAAAGGCGTTGTTAAGCCATACAGATTGATTTACTTTAGATGATCTATTCTTAATATTTCCTTTGTGTTACATAAATTCACAAGAACGTTATTAATTGAATGGAGTTGATAGTTTCTAAAAAAATTTTCAGCAGTAATAAATGCAGCCCAAAGCTAAATTAAGACATCCTTTCACTACTTTGGGCATCGCATTTTTTCCGAACAGCTGGTTTCTGTTAATAGGCATATCCTTCTTGCCAGAGCAAGCAAATTTGTAATCCCCATCATGCTCGCTGTGTAACTGCCCCAGAGCACATAATCACAGAGTATGCTCCTGTTGCTTTACAAGAATTTTTTTTTTCTTTCAAAGTTGTACTTTTGGGAGACACCATCTATTTTGTACTCCAGTTTCATGTCTTTCTTTAATTAGAGCATCTGATATTTACAGTGAGGGGAAGAAGATAAAGCGAAAGGTGTATAACCGCCTATTTAAAATATGTGAACTCACAAATCCTCAGAATATAAAAAGTTTTCTGAAATACCAAAAAAAATTATTTCAAATTACAGAAGCATATCTTACTGCAAAATTAGGAAACATTTTTAAAAATGGATGATGGCCATAATATATTCAGGATCTGATAAATTCTGAAATGCATTGAGTGGAAGGCAGATGACTGCCTATTGCCACTTTACGATTTCACTGGATGTTCACCAAAAGTCTTCAGTAATTCATTAGAATTTGGTGTGTTGAGTTTTCGTTGGTTTTCTTTTCCATATTAGATAATAATTCTATTCACAATTTGGTTGTAGAAAAGCAATCACTGAACTCAATACTTAATTCTCCTAGTAAATATGGTTCTTTTTAGTTTCAGATTGCAGGTTCGTCCACCGTTTCGGTCTGAGTTAATTCCTCTGGGATACAGGAAGCTCATATTGAAATACATTCATTCAAAATGTGCAATTATTTGGAAAGAGGATGGGTAGAAGTTTACCTCTTCCATATATGAAGGGAAAACTCATTTAAACAAAAGTTAAAGGTGAATATTTAATCTAAGAGGCAAGAAAAATATTTTAAATCACATAGAAAAATAATACATGATACGGTTTTTTAAGAATATAGGAAATGTTTCCTTTCCAAATACCTTGAAAAGTCAGAAAGAGAACCAAGAACAGTTTGATCAACAAGTGTTGGTAATATCAGGGAAGAGTAAACAGAGGAAAACATGCACAATGGTAGAATTAAGCAGATGATCTGATCAGAAGATTGGTTTACTCCTTGCCTATCCCTGGACAAACTAATCCTGGAGTGAAGACATCCTGGAGGTAAGGAAGAGAAGAGAACCGGAAAGAGTGAGATTTGAGGGACTAGATATAGGAATAGTGTAGGAGCCAACTCAGAACCTTCACAAAGCAGTGAGTATCTCTAAAACTTACACTCTTATCTCCTTTCTAAACTATTCCTAGAAAGTAATTTGTCTGTTTGTGTACATGTTTATTTTAGAAGGAAATCAAAGTGTGTTCTTGACCATACTAGTCCTATGGGATCGGCCTGCCTTCTAACCTGGTACACTAGACAAAATCTTATTAAGGAGCTCAGGTTATTTTTTTTTTCCTTTTAAATTTTAACTTTTATGTTAGATACAGGGGGTATTTATACAGGTTTGCTACCTGGGTATATTGCATCCAGGTAGTGAGCATAATACCCAATAGGTAGTTTTTCAACTCACATTCCCCTCCTTCCCTCCTGCATCTAATAGTGCACAGTATCTATTTTTCCCATGTTTCTGTCTATGTGTGCTCAATATTTAGCTCCCACTTATAAGTGACAACATGTGGCACTTTGTTTTCTATGCCTCTATTATTCACTTAGGATTATAGCCTCCAGCTCCACCCATGTTGCTGCAAAGAACGTAATTTCATTATTTTTTATGCTGTGTAGTGTTCCATGGTGTATGTGTGCCACATTTAATCAGCAATAAAGCCACACACCTACAACCATATGATCTTCGACAAAGCCAACAAAAACAAGCAATGAGGAAAGGACTCACTATTCAATAAATGGTGGCAGGATAAGTGACTAGCCATATGCAAAAGAATGAAACTATAGCCTTGCCTTTCACCATATACAAAAATTAACAAGATAGATTAAAGATTTGAATGTAAGACCTCAAACTATAAAAATCTTAGAAGAAAACCTAGGAAATACCCTTCTTAACATTGGCTTTGGCAAAGGTTTTTTGGTTAAGTCCCCAAAAGCAATTGCAACAGAAATCAAAATTTACAACAGAACCTAATTAAACTAAAGTGTTTCTGTATGGTAAAAGATACTATCAAAATAGTAAACAGACAACCTACAGAATGACAGAAAATCATAAACTATGCAACCAACCAAGGTCTAATATCAAATTATTTTATGTTAAAACTAATTAAGCCTATTAAAGCATTGGTACATTCACTATATTATTTGCCACCGAATAATCATTCAACTTATAAATATGACCATTATATTTAAGATAACCTAAATTTCCTCACATAAAGATTTTTAAGACTTTGGAGCATCTTATTTTGTACTTAAAAAACTTAGCCTCATAATTTATCTCCATGGAATCTCTTTTATATCAATGAGTTGGGAAATAGAATAATAGAAGCACTCATTTGATGAAGACTTTATGGTACCTAGATACCAGAACTGCATAGTATAAAAGAGATAACAGTAAGTTTCCAAGATAAAAATGGCAACATGACAACATGAATGATGTTTTCTCTATTATAAATTTTGGCATAAGGTTAAATATCTTCTCTTTAGCATCACTGAATAAAACGAAGTTCTATCATGGTCTTGTACATTTAGCTTGGTAGTTTTAGAAAACATTTGTTCTATCTATAACCAAAGCAGTGTTTCATAGTAAAACCGTTTTTATCTAGGATACAGAATTTAAAACAAACATCATAGGAAAAGTTTTTTAAATAATGAAAAAAATCTCCAATTCATTACATTATAAAGAAAACATCTTTGCCATACATAAAGCAAAAAAATGCAAGACAGGAGAGTACTAATATTTCAGAAAAGCATGTGATAATGAGCTAACAAATATTCAACATTTCAGTTTAAATGTTAAAGATATTTATAATACAGCTAGAAATTTTTTTGGACTCAGAGATAAATAAAATCTATGCTTGCTGAGAATACCAGTAAAATAATTGCTCCAGCATGTATAGAGTATATAAATTCTCCTGCAGGTTCACTGAGAGAAAAAAATTTAGTGTTAAGAATATTCAACAAAATAAGGCTCCAATAGAAGCATACACATCTTTGATTATTTTCCTCTTAAGTTTAGAGAGTTACTTCTTAAATAAAACTCCAGGTCTGAATGGCTTTGCTGGTGAATTCTACCAAGCATTTAAGGAAGAAATAATTCCAATTCTCTACAAACCTTTCCCAGAAAAATTGAAGTGGAACTCTTCCTTTGAGGCCAGCATCGTTCTGATACTAAATCAAAGACACCATAAGAAAGCTACATACTCATGTCCCCCATGAATATAGATGCATCAATTCTCAAAATATTGGTAATATATGGGCCAATTAAATTCAACAACGTTATCAAAATATAATAAACCCTGACCAAGCGGCATTTACTTCAGGAATGCAAAGATTGTCTAACAGTTGAAAATCAATGTAGTTCATATTAAAAGATTAAAACAGAAAATCACATAATCATCTCAATAGATGTAGAAAAATCATTTGACAAAAAAATCCAACATCTATTCCTAATAAAAACTTAGCCAACTAATAACAGGCAGGAATTTCCTTAATCTGATAAAAGGCATCTATTATCTAAAAAATCAACCAACAGCATACTAAACGGTAAAAGACTAGATGCTTTCCCCCTAAGATGAAGAACCAGGCAAGAATGTTCTTCCTTAGCGCATCTATTCAACATTAAAAAGGAAGATCTGAACAGCGCATTAAGGCAAGTAAAAGAAATCAAAGTTATCCAGTTTGGAAAGAAAGAAGTAAAACTGTCTTTATTCACATGACTCTTGAAATATAAACAATAAATTAACAGAATTAAGAATAAAGCTATTAAATAATCATTGGGAAATTTTTAGTGAAACCGAATTTCAATAAGAATATAAAAGATTTGAATAATATTATTTTAGAAATTTAACTAAATTATATATAGTACTCTGTTTGTGAGAGTTGCCAAAAACTCATTCTTTTCAAATATTCACGGTTTATCATAATTAAGAAATGCTAGGATATTAACAAAGGATTTAAAGCAAATATATTTTCTGATCATAGGAAATCTGTTAGAAATAAAAAGATATCTGGAATCTATATATATTAGAAAGTAAGAAACATATTTCTAAATAACCAATGGGTCATAAAAAATAGCAATAGAACTTAGAAAGTATTTTTATTGAATGCTTATAAAATACAGCATATTAAATCTAGATAGTGCAGAAAAAGCTGTGCTTATAAGGAAATGTATATCTTTATTTAAATATGTCAGAAAATTTAATAAACAATGTTTGGTAGCTAGACTCCAGAGGTGATCTCAAATTGAAAAAGCCTCTTGTTATTCACATTCTTGTGTGGTCTCCTTTCTTGAATTCGGACTGGCCTTCTGACTCACTTTTTACCAGCATAATGCAGCAGACATGAATTCCCATGATTTCTGAGCCAGGTCATAGAAAGTCTTATAGCTTCCACTTTGCTGTCATCATACCTAAGTAAAGTGATTTAAAAAAAAAAAAAGAATACTCCTCCATGCTCTCTTAGAACAACTTCCATCTAACTCTCTCAGAGTGCTCACTCTGGCACAAGCCAGCCAGATGTAAAAAATTCAACTGTCTTGAGATCACCATGCTGTGAGTAAGCCATCCACAGTGAAGAAATAGTGTGGAGATAAGATAAAGCACAGCCAGCCCCCAACTACGCCAGCCATCCCAATATGAGGCATCAGACATGTGAGTAAAGAAGCTACGTTAGGTGACCTTGCCCTCAAGGCTTCAGATGACTCCAGCCCCAAATGGCATTCATCTATAACAGCACAAGAGACCCCAGCTAAACCCTATCAATCCACAGAGCCATAAAAAATAAATAGTTTCACTGAGTTTTGGAATAATTCATTACACAGCAATAGATAACCAAATAATAAACAACTATCTCAAGAAACTTTAAAATGTTCAGTAAATTACTTCCACTCACCAAAAAAAGAAAGAAGGAAATAATGAAGAAAAATAATCAATGGACCCATAAACACATGTTACCTTTGAGTCTATCAATAAAACCAACAGTTGATACTTTGAAAAGACTTTAGAAATTTATAAATTTCTGGCAAGACTTTAAAGAATAAACATGACAAAAATTTGAGATGTAGACATCACCAGAGTTTATAGGCATTAAAAAGAAAGATAATGAAATATTATATCAATTGTATACAAATAAATTTGAAAATTTAGATGAAATGGGAATATTCTAAGAAAACACAATGTACAAATACTACCACAAAAATGAACAGAAAATCTGAACAATTTATTAAAGTTTTTTACAATCACAGATTCAATATCCATAACCATAAAACTTCCAGAAAAAAAAACTCCAGATCAAAATGCTTTCACTAGTAGATTCTACTCTCATTTCACCAGTGAATTCTACTAATATTCAGGAAGAGGCAAATTCAACACCTGTACAAACTCTTCCAAGAAGGAAAAAAGGAGGAATACTTTCTAACTTATTTAAAGAATTCAGTGTAATATTGACACCAAAACTGGCTTGAACATAGATAGGAATATTAAGCAAAATACTGGCAAACCAAATCTAGCAATATAGAAATATTACATATGACTAAGGTTGGGTTACTCCAGTAATATAATGGTGTTTTAATATTACAGAAACTCAACATATTCTGTCACATAATGAAAATAAAAAAGAAAAAATATGATCATCTCAATAAATGCAGAAAAATATTTGATACATTTCAACATGTATTCACACTAAAAAGGAAAATAAAAGAAAATTTTATCAAACTATAAAAGAAGGCAGTTTCCATACACAGATATCAATTTCAGCTCACTTTTATTACTCTAATTAGAAAAGGTAAGATAATAAAACTTCTAGAATGTAGCATTTAGATAATAACATAAAATATCATCAGGTCTAAAGGACAGGAGTTCTTAAAATCAAAGAACATTAACTGTAGAGAAAACGTTTGATGAACTAATAACTTATACTAATGAAAAATCATCAGAGAATATAATGATAACTGTAGCATAGGAGAAGATATTTACAAGACATGTAACCAACAAAAGCTCTTATCCAAGTATATATAAAGCAAGAAAAAAGAAAGACGACTTAATAAAAAATGGGCCAACCACTTATACTGGAAATTAACAAAAGGTGATATTTAAATGTCCAAAAACTATGAAAATAGTCCAGTCATCTGGGAAATGCAAATTATGGGTTTCTTATGACACCAACATACACTCGACAAAATAACTTTTAAAATTTCTGATTGAATCACTAAGTTGGCAAACATGAGGAACTCTTTTAATGTTGGCTATAGCGTAAATTCATGTAAAACTTAGGATAGCTGCTTGGCATTATCTACAAATACGGAAAAATGAATCCTTTTATTATCCAGCATTTTCACATTTGTTTGTAGGTAATTCCTAATAGAAGTACATTCACATATACACTCAAAAATCATGTATGACAATGTTCATGGCAGCATAATTTATAATAAGCTAAAACTTAAAACAACCCAAATGCCTATCAGCGGTAAAATGGATAAATATAATGTGGTATATTCATACAATGAAATCTACAGCAGTGAAAACTAATGAATGCAGCTGCATGTAACTGTAAGGAGGAAAACGGGGCAATCTCTTTCCTTCCCATCATAAGGGTCACGACCCACACCCCTATAAAAAAAGACAGGTAGTTAACAAGATAAAAGCATAAAAAATGAATTTGACCGTAGTTTTTCATAACATGGGAGCCTTCAGAATGGAGACCCCAAAATACAGGAGAAGCTCTCTGATTTTATGATTAGATTTGACAAAGCAGAAATAGTCATGTAGAAATGTGATTGGCCAAAAAAAGGGTATGAGCTAATGGTACTAGACAGGGGAAACCTCGCAAGGCCTGTCTGTTCAGAGTCTTCTTGGCTTTTCTATTGCAGCTTTTCTTTCTTCCAGGTATAGGGTAGGACCCCTTTGGAATGAGGGTCTTAGTTTGTTAGTTAGTTTATTTATTTATTTATTTATTTATTTATTTTTGAGACGGAGTCTCGCTCTGTCGCCCAGGCCGGAGTGCAGTGGCGCGGTCTGGGCTCACCACAAGCTCCGCCTCCCGGGTTCACGCCATTCTCCTGCCTCAGCCTCCTGAGTAGCTGGGACTACAGGCGCCCGCCACCACGCCCGGCTAATTATTTGTATTTTTAGTAGAGACGGGGTTTCACCTTGTTAGCCAGGATGGTCTCGGTCTCCTGACCTTGTGATCCGCCCGCCTCGGCCTCCCAAAGTGCTGGGATTACAGGCGTGAGCCACCGCGCTCGGCGGGAAAGTTGTTTCTTTTAAAGCAGCTCCAGAAATATTTCTTGCCTAGCAGGAAAGCCCCAGCTCTTACAGCCCAGCAGGCAACCTTTGACATGCAAATGCAGGCCATTAGAAATTGGGTCCACCCAAACATGGCGATTCCTGCCCTCTTCTTCCTGCCCTTGCCCCCACATGTGCCGGGCAACATAACCACCCCCACATATCCCCATGTGTGTAGAGCATTATGGTGTCCTGCATTCACATATTGAAAGGTTAGAGTGGGAGGGCCAGTTTTTTTGCCGCTACCTGGATGACATGCCTGGTCAAGCCAATCCCCTGAGCCCTATGCAAATCAGACACCACCTCACCCAGCCTCTTCATATAACTGGCTGGTATCAGCCAGACTCAGGGTCTCCTCTCTCGGCTTTGGGGCCCCCCTCTCTCTGTCTGTGCATGGGGGAGCTTCTTCCTTCTTTCTTCTCCCTTCTTTCCTGCCTATTAAACTCTCTACTCCTTAAAACCACTCCACATGTGTCCGTGTAGCTTTACCTAATTCAGCATGAGACAAGAGCCCTTATGTTTCTCCACTAATCGGAGCCATATCAATACTGATGAAGGTAGACAGACATACATATAAATACATAAATTTATATACTTCAGCAATTCCTGATAATTTTCTATGTATTGTTTCGTTCTGTGGCACCATAAGCTTTCCATCTTTAGGTACTACATGTTTACTAAGTTAACACCCTTGCTGACAGTACAAATGTTCAATGATATTCTGTCCCCCAGTGCCAATGCTAACCTGTTCATTTAAACCAACCTAAAGTTGGCAGGGATCCCAAATTACTCGGGGCATAGCAACCACATGAAGCTGAGGAGACTTACCAGAGCATTATTGAGAATAAACATTTCAAGCTGTTGGTACCAAGCTTAGAACTTCTGTTCTCCCAGACATTTGGTTTCACCATGCTCTTTGAACAGAAGTGGGCAGGGAAGCAGTATCAGAACAACATTCTCTGTCTTCTCATTTCTGCCTCTCCATATGTAGTCAAGGCTTAGTCATTGTCCACAATATTAAGAACACATGGACCTCCTCTTCAATATGACTGTGAAGAAGAGTTTTTTCTTCTAATATGAAAAGGACTGTAGACATAAGCTCCACAAACTTATTGTCCTTGTAGATGAGAAGTAAACTAGTCTAAAAGAAGGTCTACCTAGATGTTTTCTTCCTTCCAGAAACATTTGCCCTTTCTCAACCTAATTTGTGGATGTACATATGTTAATATGAGAGTAGAAGGATTGAAACCATTGAAACTTTCTTCTCAAGACATTGAAATTAGAGTCACATATCAAATGATATTCTACTACCAGGTAATACTGAATAAAATCAATAGCAAAAGGTAGTTTTTTACCATACTGATCACGTTTGTTTAAAACAAAAGTTGCTTGGTATTTAACACAATATGTGTTAAGCACTATGATGTTTAGCTTTCTCTGTCCTAAGTAAGGGAACCAAGGAAACATATCTTAATAATTTATTCATATATTTTAATTTCCTTTATTCAAATTCCTTATGACAGTCCCCATCACCACAAATGCAAACACACACACACACAATCATTTAGTTTCTAAATTTAAGCAGGTTTTTTTTCATATCGAGGCTATTCTATAAGCCTGTAATAATAATTGCTATTACTTCTTTGCATTTTCCTTTAATTTCTCAAGTTAGTAATTAATGCTGAAAGAGTGACAGAATGCTTTAATTTCACCAGTTGGAAAATTATATTCCCTCAATAAAAGTAATTCAAAAGGAAGAAACTGCATAGTGTCATAGAAAGAATACTGAGCTTGGAGAAAGATTCTATAATTTTAGGGTTAACTGCAGGAACTAGAGCAAATCTCCTTACCTCCCTGAATGTGTATCCACATTAGTAAAACGTGACAGTATTAAAAATGTCTTTTACAGGAAAAAAAAAATGGCAGATAGGAGGCAGGGCTAACTTGCAGCTCCTACTCAGATGGACAGAACAGCATGTGGAGACTCACACAGTGAACTTTTGCTCCAAGAACTAGCACAGGAACACACCAGAAAAACCAAAAGAATTCAAAGACACTTTGAAAGAAGCAGCTTGCCACAGGAAACTCCATGAGACAGCCAAAAAACTGAATACCCAAAGTGTGAGGGGGGAAAAGTCTGTGCCCAAAAACACACATCCTCACTGGGGAACCTGAAAATCTGGATAATGGAAGGAGGGAACCTAAAAATCCAGATTATACCTTACCTAGAGCTGAAACAAATTTAGAGTGCCAAGTGAAATATAAAAGTAAAAGCGGCAATGGGAAGAGCCCTGTATGCACTCCCGGTCCCCAGGGAAGCCATTTCTGACTTTCTCTCACAGGGGTCCTTGGGCAGGGCTGCGAGTAGAATTGGGGAAGGACCCCTGGGAGAAGGAAACCCCCAGCTGAACTTGGTAATAATTTCAACCCAGGGCAAATTTTCCTGGGCAGAATCAGGGGAGTAGTGTGGGGGCGTGAACAGGAAGTGTGGATATGCACAGAAGCTGATGCAAGCAGACAGGTGGGGGCCTGAAAGCCCTGCTTGCTTTCTCTGCGGGGAAGCTTGTAGCCTGGGGCAAGATCTCAGCCCTGCTCATGGGGCTGGCTGGATATAAACTCAGTGCTATTGGTGGGGCACACGAGAGTGAGACTGGCCATGCTGGCTGTGTGAGAGCTGGATGAGGTCTGTCACTGCCGGCTTTCTCCCACTTCCCTGGTGACATGTATGATGCAGCAGAAGGCAACAAAAATCCCCTGGGAACACAACTTAATTAGCCTGGGAACAACACACCCATCCCCCACAGCAGCTGCAGCAGGCCCCACCTAAGAAGAGTCTGAGTTCAGACATGCCTCATCCTGCCCCTACCTGATAGTCCTTCTCTACCCACCCTGTTAGCCAAAGACAAAAGACATAATCTCTTGGGAGTTCTATGTCCCCACCCACAACCTGAGAAACCCAAATACTTAGCCAGGCAAACTTAGGGCAAGCTTGTATTCCCCCTATACTACCACAGCTGATGCTCTCTGGAAAGTGCCACCTTCTGGCTGGAGGCCAACCAACTCAAGCTATTACAGCAACTCATAAAAGAACAGCCCAGCTCCAAGAAAGGAGAAAACAACAGCTAATTTCACCACCTGTAACATCCTGGCTAACCAAAGGTCCAGACTCTGTCCACATGACGAGTATACTGCTAACGCAACCAGAATTCAAGAAACCAGTGCAGTAAACAAAACTACAACCAAGAATCTTCACAGAGTCCACAGAGTCCACTTGATGCCCCTGCTACTTCCACCAAAACAGGTGCTGGTATTCATGGCTGAGAGACCTGAAGATGGATCACATCACAGGACTCTTTACAGACACTCCCACTACCAGACCGGAGCTTGGAGCCTGGTTGCTCCCCTGGGTGGCTAGACCCAGAAGAGCAATAACAATCAGTGCAGTCTGGCTCTCAGGATGCCCCATTCCTAGGGGAAGGGGAAGATCACTACATCAAAGGATTAACCCATTAGACAAAACAATCTGAAAAGTAGCCCTTGAGCCCCAGATCTTTCCTCTGACATAGTCTACCCAAATAAGAAAGAACCAGAAAAACAATTCTGGTAATATGACAAAGCAAGGTTATCTAACACCATCAAAAGACCACACTAGCTCACCAGCAATAGATCTAAACCAAGAAGAAATCTCTAAATTGCCAGAAAAATTAATTCAAAAGGTTGATTATTAAGCTACCTGAGGAGGCACCAGAGAAAGGTGCCAACCAGAGAAAACCAACTTAAAAAAATTTAGCCAGGCACAGTGGATCACACCTGTAATTCCAGCACTTTGGGAGGCTGAGGTGGGCAGATCACCTGAGGTCAGGAGTTTGAGACCAGCCTGGCCAACATAGCAAAACCCCATATCTACTAAAAATACCAAAATTAGCCAGGCATGGGGCCCATGCCTATAATTCCAGCTGCTCAGGAGGCTGAGGCAGGAGAATTGCCGCATGAATGACAGAGTGAGAAACCATCTCGGAAAAAAAAAAGAAGAGAAAAAATTTTTAAAATACAGGATTGACAAAATCTCCAGAGACATAGAAAGCATCAATAAAATACAATCACAACTACTGCAAATGAAAGACACACTTAGAGAAATGCAAAATACACTGGCAAGTTACAAAAATAGAATCAAACAAGTAGAAGAAACAACTTCAGAGCTCAAAGACGAGGCTTCTGAATTAACCCAGTCTGACAAAAACAAAGAAAAAAGAAGAAGAAGAAGAATAAAATGAACAAAGCCTCCAAAAAAGTTTGGGATTCTGTTAAATGACCAAACCTAAGAATAATTGGTGTTCCCAAGGAAGAAGAGAAATCGGAAATTTTGGAAAACTTATTTGAGGGGATAATTGAGAAAATCTTCCCTGGCCTTGCTGGAGATTTAGACATCCAAATACAAGAAGCTCAAAGACCACCCAGGAAATTAATCACAAAAAGATCTTCACCTAGGCACACTGTCAGCAGTTATCTAAAGTCACGATGAAGGAAAGAATCTTAAGAGCTGTGAGGCAAAAGCACCAAGTAGCCTATAAAGGAAAACCTATCAGATTAACAGCAAATTTCTCAGCAGAAAACCTACAAACTAAAAGGGATTAAAGTCCTATCTTTAGCCTCCTTAAACAAAACAATTATCATCCAATAATTTTGTAGTTAGCAAAACTAGGCTTCATAAATGAAGGAAAGATAAAATCTTTCTCAGGCAAACACTGACAGAATTTGTGACTACAGAGCCCGCACTACAGGAACTGCTAAAAGGAGTTCTAAATCTTGAAACAAATCTTTGAAATATACCAAAATAGAACCGCCTGAAAGCATAAATCTCACAGGGCCTATACAACAATAACACAAAACAAAACAAGGTATTCAGGCAACAACTAGTATGATGAATAGAATAGTACCTTGCATCTCAATACTGACATTGAATGTAAATGACCTAAATGTACCACTTAAAAGATACAGAACACAACAGAATGGATAAGAATTCACCAACCAAGTATCTACTGTCTTCAAGTCAATAAATGTGATACACCGCATAAACAGATATGTGTTACTCACTGAACACATAAGGACTTACATAAACCTAAGAGGTGGAAAAAGATATTCTATGCAAATGGACACCAAAAGCAAGCAGGAATAGCTATTCTTATAGCAGACAAAACAGACTTTAAAGCATCAATAGTTAAAAAAGACAAAGAGGGACTTTATAAATGATAAAAGGACTAATCCAACAGGAAAATAATACAATCCTAAATATATATGCACCTAATACTGGAGCTCCCAAATTTATAAAACAATTAGCACTAGACCTAACAAATAAGATACAAAGCAACACAATAATGGAGAGGGACTTCAATACTCCACTGACAGCACTAGACAAGTCAATCAAGACAGAATGTCAACAAATAAACAATGAACTTTAATCTATACCCTAGAACTGATGGACTTAATAGATACTTACAGAATATTCTACCCAACGATTGCAGAATATACATTCTATTCATCAGCACATGGAATATTCTCCAAGATAGACCATATGATAGGCCACAAAATAAGTCTCAATAAATCTAAGAAAGTCAAAATTTTATCAAGTTCTCTCTCAGACCACAGTGGAATAAAACTGGAAATCAACTCCAAAAGGAACTCTCAAAACCATGCAAATACATGGAAATTAAATAATCTGCTCCTGAATCATCACTGGGCTGACAATAAAATCAAGATGAAAATTTAATTCTTTGAACTGAATAATAACAGTAACACAACCTATCAAAACCTCTGGAATACAGCAAAAGTGGTGCTAAGAGACCACTTATTTCATTTCATCACATTAAATGGCTACATCAAAAAGTCTGAAAGAGCACAAACAGACAATCTACACTCATACCTTTCAGAACTAGAGAAACAAGAACAAACCAAATGCAAACCCAGCAGAAGAAAATAAATAACAAAGATCAGAACAGAACTAAATGAAATTGAAACAAAAGAAATACAAAAGACAAATAAAACAAAAATCTGGTTCTTTGAGAATATAAACAAAATTGATAGACCATTAGTGAGATTAACCAAGAAAAGAAGAGAGAAGATCCAAATAAGTTCAATTAGAAATGAAATGGAAGATATTACAACCAATATCACAGAAATACAAAAGATCATTCAAGGCTACTATGAACACCTTTACATGCATAAACTAGAAAACCTGGAGGAAATGAATAACTTCTTGGAAATATACAACCCTCCTAGATTAAACCAGAAAGAAATAGAGACTCTGAATAAACCAATAACAAGCAGTGAGATTGAAATGGCAATTAAAAACAATTGCCAACAAAAAAAAAAGTCTAGGACCAGATAAATTCACAGCTGAAATCTATCAGACATTCTAAGAATTAATTGGTACCAATCCTATTGAAACCATTCTAAAAGATAGCGAAAAATACCTAAAGCATCCTATGAAGCCAGTATCATCCTAATACCAAATCAGAAAAAGACATAAGAAGAGAAAACTACAGACCAATATTCCTGATGAACATAGATGCAAAATCCTCAACAGAATACTAGCAAACAAAGTCCAAAAGCATATCAAAAAGATAATGCACCATGGTCAAGTAGGTTTTATACCAGGGATGCAGGGATGGTTTCACATACACAAGTCAATAAATGTGATATGCCACAAAAACAGAATTAAAAACAAAAATCACATGATCATCTCAATAGATGCAGAAAATGCATTTGACAAAATTAGTTATTTCTTTATGGTTAAAACCCTCAGCAAAATCAGCATAGAAGGATTATACCTTAAGGTAACAAAAGCATCTAAGACAAACCCACAGCAAACATTATATTGAAAGGGGAAAAGTTGAAAGCATTCCCTTGAGAACTGGAACAAAACAAAGATGCCCACTTTTGCCACTTCTATTCCACATAGCACTGGAAGTCCTAGCCAGAGCAATCAGATAAAAGAAATAAATAAAGGGCATTCAAATTGGTAAAGAGGAAGTTAAACTGTTGCTGTTCACCAATGATATGATTGTATACCTAGAAAACCCTAAAGACTCACCCAAAAAGCCCCTAGATCTAATAAATGAATTTAGTACAATTTCATGATATAAAATCAATGTACACAAATCAGTAGCACTGCTATACACCAACAGCAACCAAGCTGAGAACCAAATCAAGAACTCGAACCCTTTTACGAATAGATGCAAAAATAAAATAAAATACTTAGGAATATACCTAACCAAGGTGAAAGACCTCTAGATGGAAAACTACAAAACACTGCTGAAAGAAATTATAGACAACTCAAACAAATGGAAGCACATCCTGTGCTCAGGATGGATAGAATCAATATTATGGAAATGACCACACTGCCAAAAGCAATCTACAAATTCAATGCAATTCCCATCAAATTCTTCACAGAACTAAAAAAACAAAATCCTAAAATTCATATGCAACCGAAAAAGAGCCCACAGAGCCAAAGCAAGACTAAGCAAAAAGACCAAATTTGAAGGTATCAGATTACCCGACTTCAAACTCTACCATAAGGCTATAGTCACCAAAACAGCATTGTACTTGTATAAAATAGGCACATAGACCAATGAAACAGAATAGAGAACACGGAAATAAAGCCAAGTACTTACAGCTAACCGATCTTCAACAAAGCAAACCAAAACATAAAGTGGGGAAATGACACACAATTCAACAAATGATGCTGGGATAATTGGCAAGCCACATCTATAAGAATGAAACTGGATCCTCATCTCTCACCTTACACAAAAATCAACTCAAGATGAATCAAAGACTTAAATCTAAGATCTGAAACCATAAAAGTTTTAGAACATAAAAAAAAAACCCTTCTAGACATTGGTTTAGGCAAAGACTTCATGACCAACAACCCAAAAGCAAATGCAACAAAAAGATAAATTGATGGGACTTAATTAAACTAAAAAGCTTCTGCACATCAAAGGAAATAATCAGCAAAGTAAACATACAACTCACAGAATGGGAGAAAATCTTCACAGTCTACACATCTGACAAGGGCAAATATTCAGAATCTACAAGGAACTCAAACAAATCAGCAGGAAAAAAATATAATCTCATCAAAAATGAGCTAAGGACATGAACAGAAAATTCTCAAAAGAAGATATACAAATGGCCAAGAAGCATACGACAAAATGCTCAGCATCACTAATTATCAGGGAAATGGAAATCAAAACCACAATGCAATACCACCTTACTCCTGCAAGAATGCCTGTTATCAAAAATTCAAAAAAATAATAGATGTTGGTGTGGTTGTGGTCAAAAGGCAATACTTCCACACTGCTGGTGGGAATGTAAACTAGTACATCCACTATGGAAAGCAGTATGGAGATTCCTTAAAGAACGAAAAGTAGAGCTACCATTTGATCCCGCAATCCCACTACGGGTATCTACCCAGAGGAAAAGTAATCATATGAAAAAGATATTTGCAAACGCATGTTTATAGCAGCACAATTCACAATTACAAAAATATGGAACCAGCCTAAATGCCCATCAATCAACGAGTGCATAAAGAAAATGTTACACACACACACACACACACACACACACCATGATGGAATACTTCTCGGTCATAAAAATGAATGGCATTCACAGCAACCTGGATGGAGCTGGAGACCATTATTCTAAGTGAAATAACTCCAGAATGAAAAAACAAACATCGTATGGTCTCACTTATAAGTGGGATCTAACCTATGAGGTTGCAAAACCATAATAATAATACAGTGGACTTTGGGGACTGGACGGGGAAGAAAGGGAGGAGGTGAGGAATAAAAGACTACACAGTGGGTACAGTTTGCACTGCTTGGGTGATGAGTGCATCAAAATCTCAGAAATCACCACTCAAGAACTTATCCATGTAATCAAATACCACCTGTTCCCCCAAAACCTACTCATATGTTTTTAAAAGATAGAAAAAAAAAATAACATTTTAAAAAAGGAAAAGTGTTTTAAAAATTTGAAGAACTGTTTAGTATCCATGTAGTACCTATATATACCGAAAAATACCCAAAGGGCTATCAAAATAAAAGCAAAATGATAGTATGGCATTTGCCTTCAGTGTTCTTAGATCTTAACTGGTAATACAAGTTGGCACACATTCAAAATGAATAAATATTAAATTAAATATTTAAAAATTAAAAGAAAAATGCTATGAGATCAATAGATATTAATTAGCATTACTTGATAAAATATGGAAAACATGGTTCCTACAGTATATAGAAAACTTTGCAAGTAATAATCATTGCAGGTTGGTGTATTAGTCTGTTTTCATGCTGCTGATAAAGACATACCTGAGACTGAGATGAAAAAGAAGTTTAATTGGACTTACAGTTCCACATGGCTTGGGAGTCCTCAGAATCATGGTGGGAGGCAAAAGGCACTTCTTACATAGCAGCAGCAAAAGGAAAATGAGGAAGAAGCAAAAGCAGAAACCCCTAATAAACCCATCGGATATTGTGAGACTTACTATGACAAGAATAGCACAGGAAAGACCAGCCCCCATGATTCAATTACCTCCCCCTGGGTCCCTCCCACAACACGTGGGAATTCTGGGAGATACAATTCACTTGGAGATTTGGGTGGGGACAGAGCCAAACCATAGCAATTGGGAAAGGAAATTATTATGAATGTTCAGAGATTGGTGTAAGAATTGCAGATATAAGAGGAGAAGGAAGATGGGTTGACAGAGGCAAGGATCCTTTTCATTGTGCATGTTGGAGCTCCCCATTTGAGATTAACACACTCCACTGCATATTTCTCTTCTCTAAACAGTCACCCCATTTATTTTATGAATGAGACACACTTCATTTTTTGTTACATACTGTATTTTAGTAGGCACATATCATTTAAAAACATTTTCATCTTTTCTTTCCTTGAATTTCTCCCCAGTTGTTGTAGTCATTCTTGGTGTCTTCAATGTGCCTTCTGGTGACCTCGCCACTCTTCTTTCTCTTAGTTTACTACCTATATCACCTGCAATAATGTTTTTTTCCAACCCATCTGTTCTCCAACCCACGAACTGCAATTGCAGTAACTCCACTATCTCTGAAACGTCAATGTAAACATCATACTCTTTGATCGATACGTCCTGTATTCCAATTCATTGTCTCCACTCTCATCTCTCTGCAGCCATCCTCCTGCACATCGCAACACTCCCTCCTAACATAGCCTACATCCATGTCCCAGCAGTCCATCCACATCCTCATATGTCTTGCAAACACTATCAAATTTTGTCTATATTTCTCTTCCTTTTTGTTATTTATTTGTTTAAAAACAGAATGAACATCATTATATTTTTCTTTGGACTTCTAAATAGAAATCTGAAAATTGATTGAGAAATCAAAGAGTTTAATCCCCATTTTCACTTTAAATTGATAACCATCAAGAACAACTGGGTATTCCATTACCTGAATATCCAACATTATGTAAGTTTTCCTTCACTTGTATCAAATTTATAATAATTTACCACACATTTGATCATAAAGCAAACTTCAGAGAAGAAAGTTTCTTTACTCCAAGGCAATTCAACTAGAAATAATAAAAGATAACGTATCTAAGACCTGTATTTGAAATTTTCAAAACACACTTCTAAATAACTTATGCAACAGAAAATTAATACAAATATAAAAGTACAACTAAATAATATTTTTGATGCTGCATTTTATATTTCATAGGGTATAATAAAAACAATGCTTAAGGAGAACTTTAGAAGTTTAAATGCTTATGTCTTAATATAAAGAAGTTGAAATTAATTAGCTAAATTCCTCATTTTAGAAAATTTTTAAATGTATGAAAAGAAACACTTAAATACAGTAGAAGGAAATAATAATTAATATAAAACCAGAAATTAGAAAAACAGAAAACAAAGATGCAGTTGAGAAATAAATGCAGTCAAACTTGGTTTTTTAAAGCAATTACTAAGATACCAAATACCTTGCAAGTTTCATTAAAAAACAAACAGAAATAAGTAAAATATCTGGTCACAAAGGAGACAAAATTATAGATATGGCAAAAGTAAGAGACAAAACTCAAAAATTCTGCTTTTGCTACAGTGATGGAAGCCTCCTATGGCCCATTCCTTCCTCTGATTTTAATTAAAAATTCTAGAAAATATCTAAAATAAACTACAGTCTCTGAAAAGTAAACAAAAGCATGAATATTGTTCAAGGGCATCTAAATATGGGGAAGCAACCTGCATGAGGATAAGTTTTCTCAGGATTTTTCTCTACAAGACTTTCCTGGAAGGTTTTGTCACAATCATAGATAAGTGCTACCCAAACAGCTAATACAAATACAAAAATCCCACTATAATTATTGCTAGTAGAAGCAGGGAAGGCCCTTGTGAACAGGAGAAATGAGGGGAAACATCTTAGGAGATAGAGCCTGAAATGGTTAGGCTTTGTATCCCCACCCAAATCTCATCTTGAATTGTAATCCCCAGGTGTTAAGGGAGGAATCTGGTGGGAAGTGATTGGATTAGGGGGACAGTTTCCCCCATGCTGTTCTCGGGATAGTGAGCGAATTCTCACGAGATCTGATGGTTTTATAAACAGTAGATTTTTCTGTGCTCTCAAGCATGCTCTCTCACCTGCTGGCATGTAAGATGTATCTGCTTCCCCTTCTGCCATGACTATAAGTTTCCTGAGGCCTCCCCAGTCATGCATAACCATGAGTCAATTAGACCTTTTTTCTTTATAAATTACCCAATCTCAGGTATGTCTTTATAGTTGTGTGAAAATAGACTAATACAGAGCCAAAGAAGAATATCCCCTAGTGTTATATATAAACTCGCACAAATATCCACCCAACTCATAAACTGTGCATGCCTATGAAAGACTTAAACCAGAATAATATGAAAATTTAACTGAGGTTTGAACACAAAACAAAGAATGAGAGACAAACCTCACTGCAGAAAACTAAATGTGTTGATTGCCTACTAGAATAAAAATATCAACATTATCCAGAGGATCATAACTTAATCTGTAGTCAATACAGCAAAATACTAAAAATATGCAACATAAAATCCAAAATTACTCAACATACAAATAAGCATGTACATGTAGCCTGTTCTCAAGAAAAAAAAATCTACACAAGCCAATTCCAAGATATTCCAAATGTTAGAATAATCAGGTAAAACCTTTAAAGCAGCTATTAGAAATATGTACTATGGGATAGAGGAAGAAACCTTACTAAAGAAACAGAAAACAAAGATTCAATAGAGAAATAAGTAAGTCCAAACTTGGTTTTCAGAAACAACACCTTGCTATTTTGATGAAAAAAGTAGGTAAGGCATAGTAGAAAAATAGAAAATATAAAGAACTAAATGGAAATTTTAGAACATAAAGATAAAATCTGAAATTAAAAACTTAGTGCATGTATGTCCATACTGCTCAAAACAATCACAGATTCAATACAATCCCTATCAAAATTCCAATGGCATTTGATATGGTTTGGCTCTGTGCCCCCCCCCCCGCCCCCATCTCACCTTGAATTCTAATAATCCCCATGTTTCAAGGACAGGGTCAGGTGGAGACAATTGAATCATGAGTGTGGTTTTCCCCATACTGTTTTCCTGATAGGGAATAAGTCTCATGAGATCTGATGGTTTTATAAATGGGAGTTCCCTGCACAAGCTCTCTTGCCTGCTGCTATGTAAGTCGTGATTTTGCTCTTCATTTGCCTTCAACTGTGATTGTGAGGGCTCCCCAGTCATGTGGAACTGTGAGTCAATTAAAGCTCTTTCCTTTATAAATTACCCAGTTTCAGGTTTGTCTTCATTAGCAGTGTGAGAATAGACTAATACAGCATTTTTCACAGAAATCGAAAAAAAAATTCTAAAATTTATATAGAATTACAAAAGGCCATAAATAGCCAAAGCAATCTTGAGAAAAAAGAACAAAGCTCAAGGCATCACATTTTCTGATTTCAAATTATATTACAAAGTTAGTTATATAGATTTTATTATAATACAATAAAAATTAGTAACAAAATCTAATATAAGCATTAGCACAGAATTCAAACAATGTTTAAATAATACAAAAGAAAGCAAGAAAATAGAAACAAAAAAATACAGGGGACAAATAAAGAAACAAAAATAGAATGGCATACCTAAATCCAACCATATCAAAAGTTAGAATAAATGTTATTGGTCTCAACAATTCACCTAAACGGCAGAGATTTATGCCAAGACTTGATGAGAAAAAAAAAAACAAAGCAGAGATTGACAGAAAGGACAGAAAAAAACACAAATCTTAATTACATGCTGCTCACAAGAGACATATTTTAATATAAGAATAGAAAAAGATGGTTGAGAGTAGATACCAAAAAAAAGATGTTTACAGTGCACAACTGCAAACACAAGAAGGCTGTATATTCCTCCCTCTAGAGTAGCTGTACTAATATTAAATGAAATAGAACTCAATACAAAGAGTAACACCAGAGACAAAGAGAAACATTTACTAATCATAAAGGGTATAATTCACGAGGAAAGTCTAACAATTATAAATACATATACCTAATTTTAAAAGCCCCAAATTATAAGAAAGATAAAAATGAAAGTATTAAAGATATAAATAGATAATTCCACAACTATAGAAAGAGTGTTAACACCATTCTCCCAGCAATTTATAGGAAAAGTAGATGAAACATTAGTAAAGCTTAGGTCTGAACAACCTCATCAACCACCTCGATCTAACTAACATTTATTGAACACTGCATCCAACAACAGCAGAACATTCATTCTTTTCAAGCACTCATAGTACATTCACCAAGACAGATCAGAAAGAAAACTCTCAAAAATAAAACTTCAGGCCCATATTCTTCTGGTGGTTTATTCTATCAAACATTCAAGGAAACGTTTAACATAAATTTTTTCAGAAAAGTTTAAAAAAGGAGAAAGTAACATAACCTTAATATCATTTGTCTCCAAAAAAAATGGAGAAAAATATTCCTCATAAATATAGATTCCAAAACGCTTTTAAAATGATACAAATTAAATTCAATACAGTAGATAGCAAATTATGACCAGGTTGAATTTATTAGAGAATGCAAAGTTGGTGAGGCATTCAAAAAGCTATCAACATAAGTCACCATATTAACATAAAGGAGAAAATGCATATAAATATTTTGTCAGAAAAAGCATTGAACAGGATTTCACATTCATTTATGATAGGAAAAAAAACCCTTAGCAAATTAGGAATAGTAGGAATATACCTCAAACTGACACACCTACAGCTAATATCATATGTAATAGTAATGAATTGTTTCCCTCTAGAAATGGGGAAAAGGCGAAGATTTACCCTTTTACAATTTCTAGTTAACATAGTTATCTGTATTAGTTCATTCTCACACTGCTATTAAAAAAAACTACCTGAGACTAGGCAATTATAAAGGAAAGAGGTTTAATTGACTCACAGTTCTTCAGGCTTAACTGGAAGCATGGCTAGGAGGCCTCAGGAAACTTACAATCATGGCAAAAGGGGAAGGGAAAGGGTAAGCAGACACTTTCTTCAGAAGGTCCCAGGAGGGAGTTAGCACGTGAAGGAGGAACTGTCAAACACTTATAAAACCATCAGATCTTATGAGAACTCACTTACAATCATGAGAACAGCATGGGGGAAACTGCCCCCATGATCCAATCACCTCCCACCGGGCTCCTTCTTCAACATGTGGGGATTATGGGGCTTACAGTTCAAGATGAGTTTTGGGTGGGGACACAGACAAACCATATCAGTACCAAAGGTCCTAACCAATGTTATATGGCAATAAAAAAAATGACGAAACATAAAAACAAAGTAAACTATTGCTATTAGCACATAATATAGACGTATAAAAAGAAGATGCCAGAGAATCTACAAAACTATTATTAGCATTAAAAAGTAAATTTAGCAAAAATCAATCGTTTTCTTACATCCTAGTAGCAAACAATTTGAAAATAAAATTTAAAAAGTAATTCCATTACAATGACACCACAAAACATTAAATATTTCAGAATGTGAGCATGTCTTTATAGCAGCATGATTTATAATCCTTTGGGTATATACCCAGTAATGGGATGGTTGGGTCAAATGGTATTTCTAGTTCTAGATCCTTGAGGAATCGCCACACTGTCTTCCACAATGGTTGAACTAGTTTACAGTCCCACCAACAGTGTAAAAGTGTTCCTATTTCTCCACATCCTCTCCAGCATCTGTTGTTTCCTGACTTTTTAATGATCACCATTCTGACTGGTGTGAGATGGTATCTCATCGTGGTTTTGATTTGCATTTCTCTGATGGCCAGTGATGATGAGCATTTTTTCATGTGTCTTTTGGCTGCATAAATGTCTTCTTTTGAGATGTGTCTGTTCATATCCTTCGCCCACTTGTTGATGGGGTTGTTTTTTTCTTGTAAATTTGTCTGAGTTCTTTGTAGATTCTGGATATTAGCACTTTGTCAGATGAGTAGATTGCAAAAATTTTCTCTCATTCTGTAGGTTGCCTGTTCACTCTGATGGTAGTTTCTTTTGCTGTGCAGAAGCTCTTTAGTTTAATTAGATCCCATTTGTCAATTTTGGCTTTTGTTGCCATTGCTTTTGGTGTTTTAGACATGAAGTCCGTGCCCATGCCTATGTCCTGAATGGTATTGCCTAGGTTTTCTTCTAGGGTTTTTATGGTTTTAGGTCTGACATTTAAATATTTAATCCATCTTGAATTAATTTTTGTATAAGGTGTAAGGAAGGGATCCAGTTTCAGCTTTCTACACATAGCTTGCCAGTTTTCCCAGCACCATTTATTAAATAGGGCATCCTTTCCCCATTTCTTGTTTTTGTCAGGTTTGTCAAAGGTATGTTTATTGCGGCACCATTCACAATAGCAAAGACTTGGAACCAACCCAAATGTCCATCAATGTTAGACTGGATTAAGAAAATGTGGCACATATACACCATGGAATACTATGCAGCCATAAAAAAGGATGAGTTCATGTCCTTTGTAGGGACATGGATGAAGCTGGAAACCATCATTCTCAGCAAACTATCGCAAGGACAAAAAACCAAACACCGCATGTTCTCACTCATAGGTGGGAATTGAACAATAAGAACACTTGGACACAGGAAGGGGAACATCACACACTGGGGCCTGTTGTGGGGTGGGGGAGGGGGGAGGGATAGCATTAGGAGATATACCTAATGTAAATGACGAGTTAATGGGTGCAGCACACCAACATGGCACATGTATACATATGTAATAAACCTGCACATTGTGCACATGTACCCTAGAACTTAAAGCATAATAAAAAAAATTGGATTTTCCTGATTAAAAAAAAAAGAAAAAGAATGTGAGGCAGAAAAGATTTGACACCTTTCTTCCGCATGATAAGGGTCACAGCTGACATTCCTATAATAAAAGAGGTTAACAAGAGGAAAGCATAACAAATGTATTTAATCAACTTCTATATCACACTGCAGCCTTCAGAAATAAAAATCCAAAGACCTAGGGAAAACTAACTGTTTTTATGCTTAGGTTTGATGAAGAAGGAAGAACGGGCAGCCATGCAGAAATGTAATTGAACAAATGATCTAATTGTAATAGACTGAGTGGGATAACACAGGAAGGCCTGTTTAGATTACTCTTGGCCTTTCTGTGCATGATTTCTTTGTCCGAGGTATAGGGCAGGACCCCTTCTGAAATGAGAGTCTTATGATCTACTACTAGAGAAGGGAGGTCAGAATTTCTTCATGGCCAGCTCCTACACAGCAAGGTGGGGGAAGGTTAAAAGAATATATCTAGGTTTTATGGCTGACTTTAGGGAAGAGGGGTTCTGGTTTCTGTAACCCACCTTGGAGAAGAGGAATTCTAGTTTTTATGACCTGCCTTGGGGTTGGGGGAAGGGAAGCAGAAGAAAGAAAAACAGGAGAAGGCCAGAAAGGGACTTTGTTTCTCAGGCCCTTCCAATGTCCTTCAGTCCAAAGTACTCAGCATACCAAAGGGCCATACTTTGGTATATGATTTTCTGAGCCCCAGTAGAAATAAATCTGACAAAATATTTTCAAGACTTTTATATTGAAAACTATAAAACATTGCAGAAAAAAAGACCTAGATCCATGGCAACCTATATCATATTCATGAACTAGAAAACTCAATTTTATTAAGATGGTAATTCTCCCCAAATATAAATTTAACGGAAGGCCAATCAAAATTCCAATAGGCTTTTTTTTTTTTTTGGAGCTGATCATCTGGGGGCGCAATGAAGCTTTAAGGAGCAAGGGAAAGGTTTATTACCTTGATTGTGATGATTGTTTCATAGGTGCATACATACGTCAAAATTCAACTGTACACTTGAAATATGTGAAATGTAGTGAAAGCCAATTATATCTCAATACCTTATAAAAGCAAAAAATATATAGACATGAGGAAATTTTTATCACCTTAATGCCTATACATCTAAAAACTTAGAAAAAAAAAGGGCAAATTCCTAGAAAACTAGAAAATATAAACACTGATCATGAGAAAATATAAAATCTTGATAATTTACAGTTAATAAATTAATTTGTTTTAAAAAATCTTGTCCCAAAGAAAATACCAAAGGTCAGATGCTGTTGCAGGTGAGTTTGATCAAACCTTAAAGGAAAAGATCAAAGTTTTCCTCAAACTCTTTAAAAGACTAGTGAAACAGGAACCACTCCCCAACTCAATCTACAAGGCTTATATAACCAAAACAGAAAACCAGATACAGACAATAGGAAACAGGAAAATTCAAAGCCAATCTCAATATTGAATATGGTGCAAAGTTCCTAAACAAAGTATTACCAAAATATATTCATCATATGAAAAGAAAATATATAATGCCAAAATAAAATGTGTTCTAAGAATGCTAGAATTGTTTAAAATCCAAAAATATAACTGAGAAAAGATTATTCTTTCAACATTTATAGAAAAGATATTATACTATTATATATACTAGTGTATATTAATATCTTTTATATATGTTAATGTTTATATATGTGTATATTAATATATAATACATTATATATTATAGTATATATTATATTACATATTATACTATATTATATATTCACTATTAATTATATTATATATTACATATATGTTATATATTTTATAATATAAAGTATATTACATATTATAATTAGCATTACCATATATAACAGTATTATATATACTAGTCTGTATATAATAGTATATACTATATCACATATTATATATAGTATATACTATGTTATATCACATATTATATATAGTATATACTATGTTATATTACATATTATATATAGTATATACTATATTATATTATACATTATATTTTATATATTATAGTATAGTATATTTACTAGTGTATATATAGTAGTATAGTATATAATTATTATATAAAGACACAGGGAAGTTTTTACCACCTTAATGCCTATACCTCTAAAAACTTAGACAAAATGGGCAAATTCCTAGAAAACTATAAAATATAGACTGATCATTAGAAAATATAAAATAATGATAATTTATAGTTAATAAATTACAGTTAATACAGTTAATTTTCATTGCATATTATATAATCATATATTTATACTATTATATTATTGCATATTATATAATACATATTATATATACATTGCATATTATATAATAGTACATATATACTATCATATAGTATCATATATAGTATCATATATACTATATATGATACTATATAGTATATATGTACTATTATATAGTATATTAACTATAGTATAGTAAATTGTCATTGCATGTTATATAATAGTATATTAATTACTATAATATGCAATGACAATTAACTGTATTAACTGTAATTTGTTACATAATATACTATTATATAGTAGTATATTAATAGTAATATACTATTTATTCTGTAGGATAATAGTATAAATAATATTCATATTATTTATAGAGGGATACAGGATTCAAATTGTAGAAAATCAGAAATGAGACTCTCACTTGAGAGTGTTCTGAACGTAAGAGGGGTTTTCAGAAGACACTGAGTGGCAAAAGGCAAAACAAATGTCCATTAGAGCGGAGAAGCTATTAGATTTTTCCCACTTAGTTGTTAGTTCTGTGAAATTTCTTTCATATTTGTCACATTACTCATAAAGTTTGAAATTAGTCCATTATTGTATATTATTTTAATAGATATTATTGTAAATATCTATTTCTTTGCTCATCCATACCATTAATTCAGTCAGTCAAAAAACATTTATGGGACACCTGTTATGTACCAAGCACTGTTTGATTGAGACACTGGGATACACAGTGAATAAAATAGACAAAATATTTGCCCTCATGGAGCTTATATTCCAGTGAGAAATGTAGCCATTGGGGTGTACTCTGTTATTTAGAAATCACACTGAGTTTGAATAATAATGCCAAACAGGAAATACAAAATCAAGCATAAGCATATACGTCAAGCGATTCTAAATAGGGCATTGATTAAAATATGGATAATTACCATAGCCCATTAGTAAAGAGTTTGGGTGTGCAGAATTCTGCTGACAACATGCCTAGTTAAGAAAGAAAAAAAAATGACCTCCACAGTGAGGATAAAAGCTGTTGTATTTACCGAGCTACATCCTGACTATAATATACTGTTACCTAAGGACAATGTTGCAGTGCTAGATAAAGCAATCCCCAAATATGTCTAGTGGCAATGTAAAATGGGTTCACTGCACCCTTAAAAATCCTTCATAGTAAAAGACAGCATACAAATCTAAGTCCTTTGCTGGGCTAGTAATTTATATTCATGAAGAGGATGCATCTAGCAATGATCATTTAACTAAAAAATATAGAGTGTTCTAAAGAGAAATGATCCTTCCCTTATGCCAAATATGTCATCCAATATCAGTGTCACTGCTGAGGTATCAGGAATGTCAGATAAATCTTCAGATGCCTTATGCCCTGTGCAGTGGAAGTAATTTCACTTGGGGATAAAACTGCCATTTGACTCAATTACCTTCATCCAGTCTAATTCTAGAAGGCGGGCAGGTTTCTTTTTCAACACTCTTTTAAGCTTTGAAAGGCTTCATCACCAGAACAATTTCCCTGGACGTGGAATATGTTTCATTTCAGCATTAAATGCAGTTTGAAACCAAACAATCTTTGGGAAAGATTTTAGCAGGCAGTTTAGCAGATCTCCCTGTTAGTGGGTGTTTTTAAACCATGCATAGCAATGAGGAAACATAGTCTTCGCCCTGTATCACCATTCAGTTTTTAACAACAACCTACAGAGGAAGGATATTTTATCAACATATTGTGTAATAAGTCATTTATATAAGGTCAACAAAGGTTTATACTGAACATAAGACAGATATTCAAAATCCTGTAGTACTTGTTTGTGTTGACTGTTTATTTCCCTATGAATTTGGAGTGTTCCTTAAAACTTCTACATATCAATTATTTCCCTTTTTACAAAGCACCTTATAATAAGAGAAAACTTTAAGTTCACATTCAAATTTGTCTTTCAGCTCATAGGCAAATGATGGCTTATTTAAAAAAAAAAAAAGAAAGAAAGAAAAATATAGCAATGCTATTGTCCCATACACACAAAAGTAAATTCCATTTTTTAAAGAATGTTAAGTAATCTTTTCAACAATATGGTTGAGTGTTGATGGGTCCAAAAATGCATTCTACTCTAGAGAACTCAAAAAATCAGGTTATTTAATCAATATCTATTAATTTTATTTTTAACTTTATCCAAATATCCAAATATTATATTTTAAGAAACAAAATGGAGAAGTTTTTTTTCTCAAATGCAACTGTTTTTGCTTTGAAATTTTATGTTACTACTTTGCTCAATTAAACAATATCAATATCAAAGAAGTGAAAAAACTAAAGGGCATAAATGAAAATTTAGTTATGTCTATGTGTTTTGATTTTGAATTTCTAACTGCATACTTCAAGTTTCTGCATTTTAAATGTCCTTCATAGTAGACTTAAGTGTGGTCACCTTTAAGAACATTTTTTTCATTTTTCAAGATATGCTCAATTTCAAATTGCATTCAACTTTCATTTGCAGAATTAGCAATATATGCTATATTATAAGCTGCTTCAAGTTATAACTATCTTTTGCACTGAATAATCAGTCATAAGAAAGTTCTTAAATATT